>NC_000006.12:1726666-1878181 GCF_000001405.40 Homo sapiens
CAACGGCGACTTTCAAAGCCTTTCTAGATCTGTTTTGCAAGGGCAGCGTTTTTTTCCTTTTCAAGAAAATCATGACGAATTCAGAAGTGAGACTTTAGAAATGAACAGATTAGCCAGAAAATAAAATTGGGCAACTTTCAGGGATTTCAAAGATTTTGTATTTCTCTAGACCATTCTTGGTCAATTCATTATTATTAATTAATAAATTATTATAAATTAATTAATATAAATTAATGTCTTCTGTCTTCCCTTTTTTTTTCTTTCTTTTGTAGTTTTAGGGATATTCAGAGTTAATTCAACACATTCCATTTGGGAATAAGTTTTGTAACCTAATTAACCATTCAATGCATCCCTGGATCACATACAAGTTCTCCTGCTCTCCCGTCAATGGTGGGCCCCCTTAGTAAGTCTCAGATGATTAAACCTCCAAAAAGTACAGAACTAATTGTTTGTTTCCTGCTGAGTGAGGGTATATCAATATTACTTTCCTATAACCTCCTCTGACCTAGCTAGGATACTGTTTGCACACAAGTTTCCTTCCCTGAACATCCAAGGTTGACAGCAGTAAGGATCCCAGGAGCGAGTCCTCAAGTCCACACTATGCAGGATGAGCTCATATGCTTCGAGATTACCTTCTCGCTAAAATTCTACTTATCCATTTTATGTTCTCATTTTTTATAAATCAAGCCACTCACTTAATGGTAACGTCTGGATGTCTATAATATTACAGAATTTGGGTTATTTATTTTTACATATGAACTTTTTTGCAAAGAAAGAGAAGAAATTAACAAGTATGACATGTTTGACTTTACTGTTTATCCTTAGAACTGGTTTGCATTATGAGCTGGAGATGAATCCTATGGACACAGGACAATTCTGTGTGCTCTCGGGGTCAGAGTCATCATGGGGAAGACAAAATTAGTTACCTGCCTATGTAAGCCACAGGCACCACTGAAAATGAACATTAAATGTTGATCCCAGTTATATTTTGGAATAGGTTGAGAATTAAAGACATAAACTGACCTCATAAGCCTTATTTCTGATGAATCACCTGAATGTTCTGTCAAATCACTTCTTGGTAGCAAAGGGGAAATATTTCACCGTTGGAGGAATAATCAGTTTGTTAGTGTGCTGAATTTACCAATGGACTCAAGGCAAGTATGAAAACTGTCCTGTGACACAGAGAATTATATAGCGCAGTATGTTGAATAATATACAGCTGTACAACTGGTCATTTCCCCATGACTTTTATATTAATTAATTAACACAAAAAGGGATGTTTGGTAATTTGTTTTCATTTCTTCCTTAATGTTGATTAGATCAATTTGGCAGGTCATATAGGTCTAAGAATTTCAAAGCAAGGGAATTGGTAGGTAGGATCAGAGCTAAGTTTTTGGAAAATTCACCGGGAAACGGTAAGTGGATGTTTTGGAGCATGGAGATTGAAAGCGTTTTAAAACATAACCTGAAGGAATGATGACCCTCATACATCTCCTGTGGATAAAGACCAAATCTTAGCTAATATCCACAGGAAGGGAGGACAATTGGTTAAGTCATTATTATTATTTTTTTTAAATAACTATCTAATTCTAAAGTTAATTGTTTAAGTAGAACCTTTTAAAAAAATTTTGGTTAGGCTTTCAGTAGATGAAAGTATATTTGTATTTCACAGGCATGTTTGATCTATTTTTGCTCACATTTCGTTCTTCGCAAAGAGAAACAAGTTCAGCAGATACTTGCGTGATAGTACCTCCAACCAAGTCAAAGGGTTAACAGAAATACCATTTACAATTCTGCTGACTGATTTTTCGCCTGTAGCTGGCCACGCTGACTTATGTGCGCACCAATATTCCACTGTTCTTCCACTGGTAAATCTCAAATGCCACAACCATGAGAACTGGTGATTCAAATCTATTTATAATTCAATTTTTAAAAAATCACACACAAACACACACACATATTTAAATCGACAAAGCCTTGGTAAAGACTTGGAGAGCTTTTCTTGTTTTAGGAGGGAGCGTGTGAGTCAGGAGAGGACTGAGGCCGTGCCTGAGGGGTCTTTAGACTTTGGTGGGGTCTGTAAACTGTTTCTGTGAAGAGCCAGACAGTAAATACTTAAAGCTTCACAGATCACATATAGTCTCTGTTACATATTTTTCCTTTCTCCTCTTTCTTTTTCTGTTTCTTCTTCCTCCTCTTATTTTTTCTTCCTTATTATTTTCTTCTTTTTTTAAACCACGCTTTAAGACTGTAAAACCTGTCCTTACCTCCAGGACAGTAAAAAAAAAAAACAAAAAACAAAAAACCAAAAACAAAACCAAAAGGGCCTCAGCTGGGATTTGGCCCACAGGCTCCAGTTGCCCACTCCTGCTTCGGCCGATCAGGTTAATGGTATCGCCTCACCCTCAGCTGAAGGAAAGCATTTAATTCCTGTTTATAGCAGTGGCCTGCACGGCTAGACTGCTTGAATTTTAGTGTCTACTACTGATTCTCTTTGATTGCTTTGCTGGTCATAGACTCACATTTGGGATTTGTAACACTAGCTGAAATGGGAAAAGGCTGAAGGAGAAACACTCCCTCTCTGAGGGGTTTATTAAATACAGCCTGAAAGTCAGACTTGGGTCTGGTGCTACTTTGGCACTCAACAGGCACCAGCTCCCCTGCACGACTTTCTTGCCACTGTCTGAACGCTGTCTGCTGAACTTGCATCTTGCAAATGCTGTCTACAGTCAAAACAGTCTCTAAGGGCATGGCATTGCCCTCTACAATTAATATAGCTACATTGAATGAGCAAATGTAATCAGGAAATGGCTCAAAGCTGAATTGAGTTGGCAAAAACCACTTTCTAATTTGCACCAGGTCTGAATGAGGGCAGTAAGCAAAAGTTTCGGCCAAGTGCCAAAAAACATTCAGTTACAACAATACATGAAACACTTGTATTAACAAGTAAAAGGTAACAGCTAACATGTCCTAACAAGTGATGTTACGACTTGAAGCAGGGCTGCTCTGTTAATGAAGTGACGGTGGCTTGACAGAGAGGAGAGGATTCGGTTAATTAACAAGAGTTACTACCCACGAATTGAGATCAACAGCTCACCGAGCAGGGATCCTGTATAATTCAATTTTTAAAATAAATTGTTGGCTCCTAATAAGCATTAAATAGCAATAGAAAGCACTGAAGAATAACAGAATCAAGGACAATAAGGCAAGACAAAGCGCTATGAAAATCTACTCAACTCGGCATTCCTTTGAAGGAGCAACAAAAGCAAAGTCAGCCACATGAGTCAAGTTTGGGGCTATTAGACCTAAGTTGGTGGGGGCGGGGGAACAACACACTCCTTGTAGTGACCATGAGTCAAGTTTGGGGACTATTAGAGCTAAGTGGGGCGGGGGCAACACACTCCTCGTAGTGACCCAAATATCATAAAAGCGCTCAGGGATTATTCTGAAGAAAGGCGATTTAATTAGGGTATGGAAGTAGGAAGCTGCAGGAGCTAAAATTTAGTCAGTGCCATAAGGCAGGCCTGGAGGAAGCATTAGCTTCTGGATAAAGATGGTGGTTTTCACACACTTTTGCTCCTTCCGCAGACCCCTTTCAAAAAAGGAATAAACTCACATGAGCTAAGAGGGCAGGAAAGAGATGTGAGAAACCAAATTCTGGAAGCTGGAAAGCAGATGGATGAGTGTTAAAGGACTTAGCAGAAGTCCTAGAAAAGTCTCCTAAACCAACAGTGGGAGAGCTGAGAATGGCCCCAATTTACACTTGCAGAAGTTCCCAAATGCTCAGGAAGTGAGACCTGATTGCAAATCTCCATAGGCAGCAGTCTGGGGCCTGATTCCCTCCCCGACACTCACTGCCTCACCCTCCCTGAGGTAGAAGGTGGCTGGACTGAAGGCTACAGGCTCAGTGAAGAGTGGGTCACCATGCTGAAGACAGAGGAAATTAGGTGCTTGTATGCACGATGAATACTGAGGCCCACCACACAGCTCTCTGTGGGCTGACAGTCAGGCCTATTTCCTTCCAATGAGGACACTGGGGAGGCTCCTCTGGGCATCAGAGATTCTCCAACTAAAAGGCCCCGTCAAGTCCTCTTATAATAAAATAGCCACAAGATCTAACTATGCTCTCAAAACTCACAAGTAGCTTTTTAGGCCCCCCACTTTTAAAGAAGCAGAAAACCAAGTATTACGAGACAGGAAATATATAAGGAAAATCACATATATGAAAAATAGAAATCCAAAGAAACAAACTGAAAAAAAGCAACGTGGAGGAAGTAGAACAAGCAGGGGGAGGAGAATCAGAAACAAAATAAAACAAACAAGAAAATCCCCACATCTACCACCTTTGACGTCCTCAGACAGAGAGATCAGGAAAGATATCAAACAAACAAGAACAGGATACTACATAAAAAGAAATAATGTGAAACACAGGATTTTAGAAGTTGAAAACAAAACATAGAAATTCACAATCCAAGAGATGATTTCGAAGATACAGTTGAGGAAATCTAATCTCCCAGAAAGTAGAGCAAAAAGGTGTAGACATGAAAAACCAGAAGAAGGAAGATAAGAACATTAGAGTGCCTCAGGGCAGTCAGTATAACAGGATTTCCAGAAAGAGAGTACAGAAAAAATGGAGCAGAGCAAACAACTCTCTTAAAATAAGTCAAGAATACTGATCAAAGCAGAGAGGCACATGCATTTCCACACCAAAAGGGTGTCCTCCAATAACGAATGGGTCTAGACCCACCTCACATCAAGTTCCACACCACTGGGACCAAGAGAAGGTCTGAAACACTTTCTAGAGGGGACAGACGGGACTGGGAGTCAGAATGGCTCTTGGTTTCCCATGGTGATACTGCAAATTAATAGGCAATGGAGTAACACCTTCAAAGTTCTGAAGGAAAATTATTTCCAATCTAGAAATATATACCAGCAACATTATTAATTTTGAGATTGGACTAGAGATATTTTCAGGTATATTTTGTCACAAAGTATTTGTTTCCCAGGTATCTTTCTCAGGAAACTAATTATGATTTTGCTTTACCAAACCAAGTAGTCTTGAATAAGATGTCAGGAAATAGGGGCTCAGTGCAGGATAGCAGCTAAGAGAGCCCCCCAGAGGAGCATGAAGTGACACAGCAGGGTTTGACCTTCTGGGCAGTCCACACGGGGTCAGGTCAGAGGCTCTAGGACTGCCTCAGGAAGATGTGACTGACAGCCCAACCGGGGTTTGAGAGCCTAGAGAGGTGATTTGCACAGCTGGAGCAGAGTATGGGGTAAAGTTAGTGATAAGTACACAGAAAATCAATAGAACAGAGAAAGAAGGCATCTGTTAGCTCTACAGTAAACAAATGACAATTGTACATAGAAGATAAAATAGGCCGGGCATGGTGGCTCACGCCTGTAATCCCAGCACTTTGGGAGGCCGAGGCATGTGGATCACAAGGTCTGGAGTTCAAGACCATCCTGGCCAACATGGTGAAACCCTGTCTCTACTAAAAATACAAAAAATGAGCCAGGCGTGGTGGCGGGCACCTGTAGTCCCAGCTACTCGGGAGGCTGAGGCAGGAGAATCGCTTGAACCCAGGAGGCGGAGGTTGCAGTGAGCCCAGATCGCACCACTGCACTCCAGCCTGGTGACAGAGCGAGGCTCCGTCTCAACAAATAAACAAATAAAAATAAAAAAAGATAAAATACATGTGGTTTACTGGAATGCATAGCATTCGTCAGTCATGGTAATGTAGCACTAAATATTGACTTGACTCCAAAATTAAAACATAACAATTGAGTATTAAGAGAACGGAGGGATGGGTCAAGGGGAGAAGAAGAGGGCAAAACTCTTGTTTTGAATAAGAGGAGGCCGACAGATAAGTCCCAGAAGGGCAAAATCAGTAACGACATGTTATTTGGAAACATGGAGATAAATGCCAAAATAATTGTAATACAGTACAATAGAATTTCCAGAAACAAATAATTATCTTTAAATAAGACAGTGTACCACAGCAGAACAACAAACATTTCTGTATGTCGGAAAGGGCCCACAGAGCACCCCAAACAGCAGAGCACAGAACATTCCCTAGCAGATGGGCTTAGCCAGGGAAATGGGCAGGGAGGAAGCAGGGGTAGGAGACAGCAGGGATTTGTGAGAACTCCTGTAGAATGATTAGAGGACTAGGGTGCTGGGGTAACTGGACAAAAACATCTAATAAAGAAGGGAAAAAAGAATTACAAATGTGAGCTTTGTAAGTAGCAGATGTGAGTGACAAACCCCCTCCCCGCAGGCCCCTCTACGTTGCAGAGAAAGCGAGACTGCAACGAAGAAGATGGGCCTCAGCACACCCCAGCCTGAGCTCTGCCCCAGAGATGGGTATTCTGTCACACTAGCTCCGCTACAGACCCAGCACTTCCTTACAGGATTCCCCTGTCACCCTGCCTCTGGATGGGGAGGGGATGACATCTTTGGCTCCATCAACATTCCAGATCCTGCACCACCACAGAAGCCACTAACAGGGTGGGCAGATGAAATCTGCAGAGAAGACAGAGCAGGCAACCCTGGGAAGAGGCAGGCCAAGGTGAAGTATGCGACCTCAGCAGCCCAGGGAGGAGGGCGGTCAGCACTGCCAAACTGTGATGATGGGCAGATGTCAGGAGGATGCAGGGACTCAAGCAGGGCCCTGGGCACATCAGAGAAAGCTACTTGGATAGGGTGTCGGGAGCTGAATGGATGGGGTGAGGCTGTGTGTGGAGGTGGCTCCTTGATGCCTTTTGGCAGAACAGGGGGAGAGAGAGGCCAGGCAGTGACTGGAGGGACCCCGATTCTGAAGGGGCCTCTATAAAAGACGAGAGGGAGCCTCAAAGGAGGGCCAGAGGCCAGATGCAGTGGCTCATGCCTGTAATCCCAGTACTTTGGGAAGCCGAGGCAGGCGGATCACTTGAGGCCACGAGCTTGAGACTAGTCGGGGCAACATGGTGAAACCATGTTAGGTCTCCAAATACAAAAATTAGCTGGGCCTGGTGGTGTGCACCTATTGTCCCAGCTGGGCCTGGTGGTGGTGTGCACCCATTGTCCCAAGTACTTGTGAGGCAGAGGTGGGAGGATTGCTTGAACCTGGGGGGCAGAGGTTGCGGTGAGCCGAGATCGTGCTACTGCACTCCAGCCAGGGCGACAGAGTGAGACTCTTGTCTTAAAAAAAAAAAAAGAGGGCCAGGGCTGAGTGGGGAGGCTGAGCGGCAGCCTGAGCCTCTTGAGCAGGCAGAAGGGCTGAGGCCATAGGCCAGGAGGAGGCACTCTTCCAAGGGGCATCGGGGCGACCTGCTAGTGGGACAGGGGAAAGGAGGGCGGGTGCCGTTTTTATGCTTGGGAAGCACTGCTTTAATCACAGAGCACTCTAACATTTAAAATACAGCGCTAGTGTAAACGGTGAACCCTGGATCTATGAGAACCTTAGCTGTGTATGGCCTCTTGCATTGCTACTGAAATGGAGGCTGGTTAGCCTCCATCCATGCCTAGAATTCTTCCATCTTATTTATGATAATTATTCTAAGTAAGGGGCTTCTGGCAGTACTCAGCCCAGGTGTTATGTTGTAGTTAAGGAATAACCATCTACCACAAAAAATGTGAAATTTAAATCCATTATACAGCTGTTCATGTAGAAGGCACTTCTTAAGATTAACGCCTACATCTATTCTGTGATTTCTCTATCGTGGGGCCCTTATGAATGTCACTTGCTGAATTCATATGCCAAGAGGCAGGCAAGTACCATCATCTGCAGTGCATAAATGGAAGAACACAAATTCACAGGGCTGAACAATTTACAGATGGCACGTGGGGAAGGGGTGCTGGAGCCAAGACTGCCAAGCCAGGCTTCTGGGCTGCCCCACCCTGGGCCCAGACAACACCTGTTTCACGTGGTCTGAGCCAGAAAGGTGTGGTGCCCTCTCAAAAGGGCATGGCCATTTTTGTGGGGAGGCCTCCTCAAACATTAATTTCAGTAAGAGTGGTCAGCTGGTCAATACTTCCCTTGCTTTCTTCTTTTTAGCAGTAGGACTGAGAAATTACTTAATAGGGAGGCTCCCCTCTAAACAGCCTTTTCTTATGCTTCATCCCTAGGAAGTCAGACTAGGAAGATGAATTCAACAGAAAAAGCCTTGCGAGGTGGTGCTACTGAGGGTAGCTGAAGAGATCAAATAATAATAATGATAATGGTAACAAGAAGACAAGACCAGAGATGGCTCTCCTCGGCTGTGAAAATGACAGTGAACAGATCTTCTGACGCAGAGCTAGCATTTCAAAGAGCCTCAGCGTGTCCACGCTACCTCGCACAGCTCATTAAATGCGCTCCAGCTGCCTGCTTCATTTATATTTACCCAACTGGGGCATATTAGCCACCCCCAGTGGATAAGGATGGAGCTTCTGCTGTGTGGGGGAAGCAAAACTTACAGAGGCTTCCTGAGGGGCCACAGTGAGTAGGTGTGCCAAAACGACCAGTGCCCAAGTACCCCCAGAGTCGCTGCCACTGTTCTGGGCCATCTGCATCTGCACCTCTTTCACCTACACGACTGTGTCTATCCATCTCCCTTCCTCCCATCCCCACAAATCTTCACCAAGCACCCGCTAGGTGCCAGCCAGTAAGCTAAGCCAGTTGCTAAGGACACGGGTATGTGGAAGCTAGACATGTCTCTGTCCTTAAGGAGCCTGCAGTCTATGGCCACCACAGTCTTGTGAGGGAATGATGGCAGAGAGCCAGGGTGCTGTCAGAGCCAGGAGGTAGGCACCTAGCACAGACTAGGTGGAGGCAGGGTGTTGGTCAGAGGGAGGATGCCTAAGCTAAGACCTGAAGAATGAGTGGGAAGTGGCCAGGAGAAGCAGACGGAACTGTAGGAGCAGGCATTTGACGAGCCCAGTGTGGCCAGGCTGTTCCACCCTCGCTCATCAGCTTACCCAGTGCCCACACACAATGCACTAGCTCCTGCCTCCATGCCTTTTCTCATGCCCTCCCACCCACCTGGAATGTCTTCCTCCTTCCTATCATCCGTATCTCCCAATCTGGACAAGGTCCAGCTTACATCTAACTTTCTGCAAACATAACTCCAATCATGATTGTGAGGCTATTACTTCAGTATCAATATAATAAATTTGCACAATGTCTTCATATTTGCACAGATATTTGTAAATAATGTGTTCTTATTAATTGACACCCAATTAGAGTCTATATTTCTCCAGGGCTAGGAAATCTCTTTCAATTCTCTTTGATTAGTTTGGCATTGAGAGGAAATTAGATGAGCAAATAACACATTTATAGAGCACCTAAGAGGTGTGAGGTGCTGTGCCAGCTGTTTAGGTACTTATGAAGGCAGCAGTTATTTTGAGGATCTAACAGACCCTTAGTTAAGAAGGAAAATGGGCCCGCGACCTGGTGAATTGCATCAACTGCCTATGAAATGAAATGAGGGTTGCCTCAGACCCACAGCCCAGCATGACATCAGGGCTCTATTTAGATCTTGCAGGTGCCAATAATTCAAAAGTCTGTTGCTCCAACAAAGGCACTACAACATCACCTTATGTTGTAGTATTTTGTTTTTTAAGGGTTAAAAATCTAAGCATCTTAGAAGTTCAGAAACATAAATGATAGTAGGATTCAGATTTCCAGGAGGGAGGTAGAGAGACAGAGAGGAAGAAAGCGAGAAGAAAAAGAGAAGAAGACCTCATTTAAATGGTAACTTGAAGCTTATATGAAAAGTCCAACCTCTTTATGATGACCAAATATAATGTGAATACTCTTGAAGGTGTGAGTCCCTTTAGAGTCTCTCCAGAAAGTTCTCATGGGACTCTACGCAGGTTTTCTCAGCATGACTGCTTTTTCTAGCTCTAATGGGGATTTTGAGTGACGATGAATGAAGGTGAGTTATATTTCCATCACTCAGTGTCACAGATTTTACTCCACCTGGTCACAGCATGGACATCAAAAGAAGCTTTGGCAAGCTGCTGAGGTGGGAGTTAAATCTATCTCAGGGATCAACGGTGGCTGGTCTAAACACACCACATTGAAAGGTTAGGGAATAATACAGAGCTGCAGTGAGTTTCCTTCTCCTGACTTTGCCCCTACATAGAACCCTTAGAAGTATGGCTCATTACATGAGAGTTCTGTTCATCACCAACAACTGACTGAGTGGAGGGATGTGCTCTCCCACAGTGAGTTTGACAGTCCCAAGCTCTGCAAATTCCCGAGGAATGCATTACAGTAGCTACACTGGCTGCAGGATCCACCCCCTGGAACCTGCTGCCAGGCCTTCCTTCTCAGGAGCTGTCTTCAAGATCGGCCTCCAGAGGCTTCATGAAGCTTAGGACCCAGGGTCCAGAAATCCCATCCATCAGGAAACAGTGTCAAATGAAGGGAGCAAGGTGCATGAGCACAAAACAGCTTGTTACCTCTGCCAGGAGGATTTTAGAAATGGGTTTCTTTTCTGATGTATAACAATGTTGCCCTTGTTACTTTTACTGAAAATGTAAATTCAGTACCACAGACTACAATAACACTTTCCATGTCTGAAACATTACCCACCTCCCACAACGACAACAAGCAGCAGATGTTGGTTCTCACCTGGTTGTAGGGTACTCTTACAACTCTCTTCTCAAAATTTAACAAGATTAATGACAGAAAATTAGTCAAGACAAGTATTTGCCTGTTTGGGTTATCCTACTATCATCTTAATTGTAGGAGAAAAGTGTTTCCTTTTCACACTACATACTTAGTGGTAAGTTGATGTGAAAGGAAAAACAAAACACAGCACTAAAAAGAGCCCCAACAATGCAATGTGCTCCACACACACACAAACACACACACACACACACACAGAGATACACACACATACACACCACACACACAGATACACACACACACCACACACACAAAAATACACACACATACACACACCACACACACCACAAACACACACACAGATACACACGCACACATACATACACATACACACACCACACACACAGATATACATACACACATACATACACACACACGCACACACCACAAAGACACACCACAAACACACACACACATACACATACACATACACACACACCACACACACAGATACACATACATACACACATACATACACACACATACACACACACCACAAAGACACACCACACACACAGATACGCGCACAGATATGCACACATACACACATACATACACACGCAACCCCACACACATACACACCACACACCACACACAGATACATACACACCACACACACATACACAGATACACACATACATACACACACATACACACACACCACAAACACACCACACACACAGACACACATACACACATACACACACCACACACACACACCACATACACCACACACATACACACATACCACACACACACCACACACATACACACCACACATATACACACACACCACACACCCATACACACATACACACACAGATACACATACACACACACAGACACATACACACACACATATACACACATACACACACACATACACACACACAGATGCTATCAAAAGAAAGCAGTTGTCATAAGGCTGCCTTTCTCAATACAAATGACTGTGTAAGAATTTAAAACGTTACCTTACATTTTATCAGGACTGCATGTGGTACTGATCTGCTTCCCCGAATATCTTCTACTAACCCAAACTCAAATTAATGTGCTATTTTCTAATAAATGCAAAACAAAAATTATTCAAATTACTCAAGTGATGTCAAAGACTTCAAGAGGAAATATCTGTGTCGATTCTAAATATACAGATGGCGACACGTGTCAAGCCTTTTCGGAGAACATTACAACGGATAAATTTTAAAAACGATAACAAAAATGGGAAGAGACAGCAGAGCTTAGAATAGCAAAAGTGAGAATGTTCCAGATGCTGATTGGTGTGTCTGATACGGTACAGCCTCATGTAATATGAGGCAAGGACACAAAGCACAACAAGTAGAACTCTGAGCTAGCAGAAAGCTTTCTAGCTTAATTAATGGCAATGCTAATGAGACTAGAGAGCTTGGCTGTCCTTCACCCTCTACATCTGGCTGTTCACCAAATCCCGCTGATTCTAAGACTCAAATCAATCGCTCCTCTCCCTCTCCATGTTCTCGGCTGAATGCAGATCCTCCTCATCCTTAGCTGGACAGCTCCAACAAGCCTCTAGGGAGGAAGCATGGTGGTTTCCCTCAAGCTGTCCCCACCATATGAGAGGGAATAAGGCTAACCATGAAATCTGCGGAAATCAGGATGACAGTGGGTGTTTCTGGGAGGACTTTCTGGATAAGCTGGCTTTTGGGATATCCACTTGTGCTTAATTAAGTATTTACAGAGCACCGTCAGCTGTTGAGAGCACTGAGGATAACCTGGGAAGGAGACGATGCCCACAGGCATGAAGACCTGGGTCTGTGTTCACTGCAAATATCCTATCACAAAGTTTTTTTTGACAGCATATGAACAAGAAGGATAAAAAGTGCACATAAAGGAAAGAGGAGCGTCTTGGGTCACAACATACTCATTTCAGACCCTGGCTCTGCTACTCCCTTGCTGTGTGACCTGGGGAGAGCACTGAACTGCACTGTGCCTCAGTTTCCTTCTCAGTGCAATAGTGCCCCAGCCCTGGAAATTAAACACAGTAGGGGTGCGGCTCCTGGCATGCCTCCAGGCTCGCCCTAACCACTCCCTGCGTGCCGCGGTGAGCATGGGCTGTCTCTGTCTGTCTTGGAGCACATCCTGCCGTTCTTCTGCAATAGCATCCTGCTATAGGGGAAGACCCTGCTCCCCCGCATTCAAACAGTGGACTTTCAGTGGGGCTGCTCATCCCAGAATCCTCACACCCTGAAAACAGGCCAAGGCCTGGGATCCAGTCCCACGCTGGCCACAGCGACAGGTCTAGGGATAACTGCAGGACCCACAAGGGCCAGCCACAGTCCTTCCTCAGGATTTTTCTAGGTGGATTGTTCTTAAAGGTTCTATTCCTCTTTTGACTGTGTGAGGCTGTGTCCCCAGAAAGGCAGTCTAGACTGCCCTCTGCCATGGGGAGCAGCTGAGGGATGGAGGCAACATCCCAGGGCACTGGAGCCAAGAAGCAGAGGGGCCCTGAAGGAGCACCAGGTACCTAAGGCTACTCTGAGTTCAGTTTCAGTTCCTGAAAAACAGAAGAACTCTGACTGCTGGGAAAGTCCATTCACTTTTCTCCCTTTCCTAATATAGTACTAAACAGTTTCACTATGCTTAAGCCTTTATTAGCATAGATACTTCACACATTTAAAAAATAATTCATGCGTATCATCCTTCGCAACTTTTGGAGCATAACAGGACACTCCTAATAATAAAATGTCATGTTTGATTCCTACAGAGAACATAAACAAAAGTGCACATATTTTTTAAAGAATAAGATGTTATGCTTACATCTTATTTTTCTCATTAAACTTGTTTAAGTATAATCTGTGTTATTCACATATACAATATAAATTTGTTAAAATATGTTAGAGAGTTATTAAAAAAAGTAATTAATGAGAGTGGCAGATATTAATTTCTGCTAAACTATACGTTTTAATTAAAATTTTTGGGCCAGGTGCGGTGGCTCATGCCTGTAATCCCAGCACTTTGGGAAGCCGAGGTGGGCGGATCACTTGAGGTCAGGAGTTTGAGACCAGCCTGGCCAATATGGTAAAACCCCGTCTCTACTAAAAATACAAAAATTAGATGGGCGTGGTGGTCCATGCCTGTAATCCCAGCTACTTGGGAGGCTGAGGCAGGAGAATCACTGGAACCCAGAAGGCGGAGGTTGTAGTGAGCCAAGATCGTGCCACTGCACTCCAGCCTGGGGGACAGAGTGAGACTCCGTCTCAAAAAAAAAAAAAAAGGAGGGTTACTTAGAAGCAACATAAATTTTATATTTGAAAAGTATAAAAAAACCCTCAATTCCAAACATAATCAATCCAACAATGCATTTTTCAGTCCACAAGAGAAGAAGGCCAATTTTTTTTTTTGAAAAATGAGGTATCTTCTTTAAAAAATAAAATAGAAGGCCAAAAGAATCAACATAACCAAATTACACTTCAAAGATTATTTTATATCTTCTTGCTTCCTATCTATATGCTATTTTCCAACTCCCCATATTATACGTAAAATTTGAAAAAGATCTTATTTTTGCCTTAATTTTCTATAATTAATGTCATTAGTTTCCTGCACAAAGTTTTCATGCAAAACAAATTTATGTAACTCTTGGCCACGAATTGTCAATATTTTTCATAAAATTGGAAGTATATTGAGACAAAATGTTCACAAAATAATTGGGCAGTATCTCTTTTTCTGAGTGTTCTTATTTTTGTTTTTAAAATTTTAATTGACACATTATAATTGTACACATTTATGGGGTACATTTTGATATTTTGACACATGTATATGTTGTATAATGATCCATTCAGGGTAGTTAGTGTATCTCTATCAGCTCATGCACATATTTCTTTCTGGTGACAACATTAAAAATTCTCTCTTCCAGCTATTTTGACATATACAATAGGTATTGTTAACCTTAGACACCCTATTGTACAACAGAATACCAGAACTTATTTCTCCTATCTTATTGTTACTTTGTACCCATTTACCATTCTCTCCCCAGCCTCTTTCCACCCATCCCTTCCTCAGCTTCTGGTAAGCACCATTCTACTCTCTGCTTCTCTATCATCTTTCTTTAGATTTCACAGGAGTGATATCATTCAGTACTTGTCATTCTGTGTCTGGCTTCTTTCACATAACATGATGAAAGAAATTTGGAAAATTTTCCAAATTTCTTTCATCTTTCTTTTAAGATGTTTTTGGCCAGGCGTGGTGGTTCATGCCTGTAATCCCAGCACTTTGGGAGGCCAAGGCGGGTGGATCACCTGAGGTCAGGAGTTCGAAGACTAGCCTGGTCAACACAATGAAACCCCATCTCTACTAAAAATACAAAAATTAGCTGGGCATGGTGGGGCATGCCTGTAATCCCAGCTACTTGGGAGGCTGAGGCAGGAGAATTGCTTGAACCTGGGAGGTGGAGGTTGCAGTGAGCCAAGATCGCACCACTGCACTCCAGCCTGAGCAACAGAGCAAGACTCTGTCTCAAAAAAAAAAAAAAAAAAAAAAAAAAGAAGGTGCTTATATTGAGACAAAACATTTAAAACTAAAAAAAGTAAAATAAAATAGTATTTAAAAATAAATGAAAGTAAAAACATCTTTCTTTTTTTTTTTTGAGATGGAGTCTTGCTCTTTCACCCAGGCTGGAGTGCAATGGCATGATCTCAGCTCACTGCAATCTCTGCCTCCCGGGTTCAAGCGGTTCTCTTTCCTCAGCCTCCTGAGTAGCTGGGATAACAGGCGCGCACCACCACGCCCAGCTAATTTTTGTAGTTGTAGTAGAGATGGGGTTTCACCATGTTGGTCAGGCTGGTCTTGAACTCCTGACCTCATGATCCTCCTGTCTCGGCTTCCCAAAGTGCTGGGATTACAGGCGTGAACCACCGCGCCTGGCCAAAAACATCTTAAAAGAAAGATGAAAGAAATGTGGAAAAACTTGGTTTAGATGCTGACCAACATCTGACAAATAACACAAGTAGGGCTGGATGCAGAGCAGAGCAAAGGCCCCACTCTACACTGAAACTTTCTGTATTGCTCTTCAGGAGAGTGAAGGGGGAAGATGACAGCCAGAACCGAGGCTTCAGCAAGCTCAGGTGCATACCTGCCAGAGAGCTACAAGTAGTCATTTCTCAGGTATACTTACACAATGGTTTTTCCAATGTGCAAGAATGATTTCTCGACAAATTCCCGGACACTATGGACCTCCCCAGTAGCTATAACGAAGTCCTCCGGCTCATCATTCTGCAACATCAACCACATAGCCTAGAGGGAAAGAGAGGCAAGTTCACTTTGAAGTCACACTCAGTGGCCACACATTGTTTTCCAGTGCACATAATCAGATATGGACATCGACAGCTGGAACATGAGCATGAATTTCATAGCATATTCTAAGCACAACAGCAATGGCTCCCAACTTTTACTGAGTATCCGAATAACATGAGGAACTTCTTGGTGTGGATGCCAGGGCTGCAGCCGTAGAGGGGTGGGCTCAGAGGCCTGGAGATTCTCTCTCAGAATATTTATCCTTAACATCCCAGGTGATTCTCATAGTGCAGGTCCTCAGACCACAACGTAGAGGAATGTGATGTGAAGCAGTGTCTATGGCAAATAACCTTTTTATGGTATTATTTACAAAAAGAGCAGTTCTAAAAGCACTGTTTAATTTTTCTTCATATCATAGATAGTAGTCAAGGAAAAAAACCATTTAAAGACAGGTATTTGTCCTCAAAAGTAGAACTTAATTTTTGAACAATAAAGTTGAGAAGGTACTAGTCAAAAAACAAAGTAAGTGCGAATCATTAATGGAAAAACAACCACGTAATGGAGAGTACTACTATTATAAAAAAGCTGTCTGAGAGGCAATGAAAACATTTATCCCAGAGTTAATGGGTTCATAAGGCAGCATTTCAAGGCCAGGGGCTCAACTTCCACATCAAAATGGATGTCTAGCAGGGCGCGGTGGCTCACGCCTGTCGTCCCAGCACTTTGGGAGGCCGAGGCGGGTGGATCACGAGGTCAGGAGATCGAGACCACGGGGAAACCCCGTCTCTACTAAAAATACAAAAAAAATTAGCCGGGCGTGGTGGGGGGCGCCTGTAGTCCCAGCTACTCGGGAGGCTGAGGCAGGAGAATGGCGTGAACCCGGGAGGCGGAGCTTGCAGGGAGCCGAGATCGCGCCACTGCACTCCAGCCTGGACGACAGAACCAGACTCCATCTCAAAAAAAAAAAAAAAAAATGGATGTCTATACAGGTTCACTTTCTCAGTAGGAGCCAGGAGTCTGGTGGGCAAAAATGCCACTGCATGTCCAAGATACTGACTGGTGGCACCAGCGCAGCCCCGCTCCCCGTGGTTAGCTTTTACCAACAGCAGATAGGCCTGGAGTTCCTGTATCTCGCAATTGCACCTTAAAGATTTTTTTTTTTAATACAGATAGGAGATGAAGATTTAAAAAAAAAAATAAGTGTAGCAGGAATCCAACAGGAATATGTCTCTTCAAAAAAGGTTGAAGCAAAACAAAAAAAAATCAATCTCTATTTTTTCATCACTTCCACCCACTTCTCAAAATAAAATAGGTAAAAACAGTAAGGACTTAATTATAACACAGCCTCCAATGATATGTGCATTGAACTCTCGTTCCAGCAAAATTTAAACAAAACTGTTTGGTTTGCGTCTCCCTAAGTTGTTCCTTGATAAGCCAAAAACAAGAAGTTGCTAAAATCAATGAGCCAGCCTATTTTCTCTTAGAAAATGCCACCAAAAAAGTTTAATTTCCTTTTTATTCATTGGAATTTGTAGAAAACTTCTAAAAAATAAAATTTAAAATAATTTCTCTTTTACCTGAAGTTATTTCCTGTGTATGTTTTTGTATTTTTGGTCTATTACAAGATTGTTTTAAATCATATGGAAGACAAGATTTTGGTCTATTTTATATGCTTTGGAGATGTGGCATGCTGGTTGGGACAATGGTAATAGTTTCAAGTCAGTGATATTCTATAAAGTAACTGACGGAAGAAATTATCTTGGCGAGAAGACATATTTGTTCACATTAATGGAATACCTGCAATTTCATTTTGCCTTAAGAAATCATGGTTGGTGAACTGAGCCACAAGACTTTTTAAATGTTATACTACCACTACTACTACTAATGATAAAGCATGAGCTTTTAAAAGGCATGAAATACAAGTTGTTCACTGTTTTGGGATAGTCCACACAAGCAGATGGAGTCTACAATGGCTTGGTAGCTCCCTGAACACTGTTAAACACTGGGGGCTGAGGAGAGCAATGAGATCTGAAGTACAGCCCAGGCTCGGCACCGTTTGTCAAGAAGTTCCCCAAGGTGTCTTTCTGAAAGGGGCACCAAGGCCTGTGTGCACGAGCAGAGGCCTAGTGAGCAGCTGCTCCTTGTAGGTCTGTGCCTGCAAGTGAAATTCCCGCGGCCTGGAACACCCTGTCTCCTCATCTGTCTGGGAATGCTGACCTCTCTCTAGGTCCCGGACCAGGGTCCCAAGTCTAGCCACTGGAATGAATTCCAATGCACACAGTATGGTGGCTTCACCGGGATCGGGCCTGCCCTTTGGCCCGCTTCCCAACTAAGCTGAGCCTCCCACTTCACCCAAGTGGGCGCACGAGTGTACCCGTGGACACACACAGAGGCACACGTGCACACACACACACACAGAAACTTATTTTGGCTTTTGCCAAAATACCTTCAGAATTTTTAGGAAAAATTAAATGATGCCTATGGCTAGAATTCCTATCTGAACGTTCTTCTGCGGGATTAGATGTAAGGGGGTAAATACACTTTAATGTGTTTGACTCAAATTTCCATTCTAAAAATAACATCTCAAATAGGTCTTTCAGGGCCACTCAGCTTATTTTACTTCTTTAGAAACAGTCCGCTGTGTTAGAGTGGTCTCAAAAAAGTCCTATTTTTAGTCATGTGAAAGAAGACAAGGACGTGCTAAAAATGTAAAAGGAGAAACTTGACTGTTGGCTACTGGTGGGTCACTTGGAGAAACATGACTGTTGGCTACTGGTGGGTCACTTGGAGAAACTTGACTGTTGGCTACTGGTGGGTCACTTGGAGAAACATGACTGTTGGCTACTGGTGGGTCACTTGGAGAAACTTGACTGTTGGCTACTGGTGGATCACTTGGAGAAACTTGACTGTTGGCTACTGGTGGGTCACTTTAAACACCGGCCCGGGTCCCCTGGTGCTTGTTTTGTTCCCGGCAGGAATCTAGGGATCAGTCAGGGCCTCTCCTTTTACTAGAGCAAGAGCCAAGAATCTGCTCTTTTCTTCTCCATCAGACTATCTGTGGCCTTTGACCTATCAATTTCTAGGCATTTCCTCTAAAGTTCATATTGTACCAGACTCCAGTCTGGGAATGAGAAGAGAAAGGATATACAACTCCAGATTTATTTGTTATTACTGAATAGTTTACTGGTTTCAACAGAGGGATAGGGCTTTGTTTAAATTTCCACTGAGCATAATTAATGGTTATTGACTGGTAAATGAAGAACAGGTGACACTCTGGATTAGAAGATAAATGATCCTGTGTTCTGGTGTGATAATGGGTTAGTAATTCACCACAAAGCCGAGGCTGAGTGCATCCCGTCGTAATGCTAGATCATGTCCAGGAGACAAAGGCCCCTGTGTGAGAAGGACGCAGCCATCCGCCTCCTTATACAGCTGCACACGTTGATGTGCTCCATTGATTCCCTGATGGATGGCACAACTGAGGCAAAAGTTCACCCGTTCTCACCTTCCTGTTCACATGCTGGACCACATGACCCATGACATGGCCAGGCCACACTCTGTGATCAAATCGCCACCCAGCTTTGGCTTCTGACTAGAGAAACAGTGTTGAGGTTACATGTTTTAGAGGTCAGTCTTCTCTCTTTGTCTCTCAAGGAATGAAGGAGGAAAAAGACAGTCTTCCTGCATTCTTTTGGTGTCCTTTGAGGATGTGACTGACTTGTCCACTTCCTCAAATACTTATTTACTTTCAGTCCTGACCTGATTACCAGTGCACATGAAAAAAATCTCCTGTTTTTTAATCCATCTCACAGAGAGGAAAGCAAATCAGTTAAGGAATGTGCCAGGGCTTCAGATTCTTTAACATAAAAATGTCCCTTAATTGCCAAAAAAACAGGGCAGTTTTCAAATCATGTCTTGCATTCATTTTGCTTTTAAGCAAATGAAGTTCAAGGGAAATCTGACTCCAGACCATTGACTTTTGATGGCCAAGTCAAGATGGGTATAAATATTACTTAAATTTGGACACGTACTCTTCTGTAAGTATATAATTAATCTATCTGTTCTACAAATCCAATTTGGAGAAGTAAAAATAAAACTTTAGTTTTATTTATTTATTTATTTATTTATTTTTTGAGACAGAATCTTGCTCTGTCGCCCAGGCTGGAGTACAGTGGCACAATCTCGGCTCACTGCAACCTCCGCCTCCCGGGTTCAAGCGATTCTCCTGCCTCAGACTCCCGAGTAGCTGGGATTATAGTTGTGCGCCACCATACCCGGCTAATTTTTGTATTTTTAGTAGAGATGGGGTTTCACCATGTTGGTCAGGCTGGTCTTGAACTCCTGACCTTGTGATCTGCCGGCCTCAGCCTCCCAAAGTGCTGAGATTACAGGTGTGAGCCACCGCTCCCAGCCTACAAAACTTAAATTTTAAAATGTCAAATAAAAATACTCCTCTCTCACAGTCTCCCATTTGGTAATTTGAGGGGTGGATGCAGAAGTGGTTTGGGAGGCTCAGGAAGGGCCACTCCCCTGCTTGGGAAGCTGCCAGCTCTGGTGGCTGTTCAGAGCTGGACCAATGAAGGAGAACACTCAAAGTGCATCACCACAGCCGACTGACTACACCTGATTCCGTGCATGCCTTCTGTGGTGGGATGTGTGTTTGTCTTAAAAATCTGGATTCTACAATTGCTTCCACCTCGACGTTAACCTCCAGTTCAGTATCCAAGCCACAAACACTTATTAACTGAGCTGGCATCCATGAATAACAAGATTTGTTAATGAAGGTTATGTTTAACTATGTCTATTTGACTGTTACTTTTTCACCCTGGTGCTTTTGTGCTTTACGTGCTACTGTCACAAAAACCTTAAAACTACACACACACACACGCTCATGCGTGTGCGCGCACACACACACACACACACTTATGTATGTATACGCATTTCAGGGGAGAACATGTATGAAATAACTCTAATAAAAATCATGGAAATTTGAACAAATGGAAATTAAAGTTCCAGAGAAAGGATGCCCAGTGTGTACCCATTCACATGCGTTTCATCTCTAAACATTATTTAGTAGCTGTTTTCATGATGGCAGCCTGGTATTTAGTTTGAGTCAGGACCTCCAGTAGTTTTGTGGTCAGCCAAGCCTTATTCTTTGTGGAATTCACATAGGTAGGTCTTAGGTCTTTGGGTTAGTTTTAATTAATAAAACTATACTAATAAAAACAAACAGTGTGAAACCAAAGTCTGGCCTTATGGCTATGTCTATTTTCTTCCTGGGCAAAAACGCTGTGTCACACGGATTCCTTAGATTAAGGGACTTTTAGACGTTTTAAAGATACGACGTTACTGAACAGAAAAAAAAAGATAATAAATTAATCAAAGGACCAAAAATAAAAGAACACAACCCAGAAAGCCATATAGCTCTTGCTTCTTTCTTTGCTAACATATCATTCTATATCAACACCATATGTACTGAAAGAAAGAGGCAATGTCAAAATTTGTTTTGCCCTTTATCTTTTAACTCTAGCCAGGAATACACAGCTAAAAACTCCAGGTTGGGGTTAATGTTTCTCTTCCCTAGAAACAATATAAAATCGAACAGCTCCTAGTCTTGTGTTAATCATTCTGAATCAGTTTTCTAGGATATTATCTATTCTTTCAATTTGCAGATTCTAGTTATATATTTATTTCTTCTATTTATCTTTGAATATATCTTATCTCTTCTATTCAATTTCTTTTTCATGCACATCAATTATGCATATATCTCTTTTGTTTTATCTTTTACATCTATCACCTCCGAGCTAATCATTTTTGGGTTTTGTTTCATATTAATTTATATGATTTCCTCCAGCCTGTTCACCTGATTGTTTTAGTAAAATTTATTTTATATTTTGTTGGTAACATGGTTTCAATTTCTGTAAGGGTTTTTTTCTCTTCCATACTTTTCCTGTTTACTACCAGGTTGCTTTTTATCTTTTTGTGACTTTATTTAAGCCAGGGGACAGACAACTTTTTTCTTCTAAAGCCAGATAGTAAGTATTTTAGGTTTGTGAACCACATGGTCTCTGTTTCTCTGCTGTTGCAGCACAAAACAGCCATGGACAAAATGGAATCAAATGGGTATGACTGTGTTCCAATAAAACAGTTACAGGGCCCATGGACTACGATTTGCCCACCTTTGCTTTCAGCAAACTTAACAAAAATATGTTGCCTGTAATTTCTTTGACTCTACAGAGAACAATTACCCAAGCTCTAGCTGCTAATTTTTTTGAATGATACCCCTTATGATATGCACAATGCATCTGTTTGCTTATGTTCCTTTTCTTCTTCTTGCAATCCTTTCCCCACTCACACTCAAGCATAGATTCTGGGGTAGTGCCTTTCTACTTATTATTATACTTGAACAAGGCTGGCTGTTCCCTGAAGAATCTTAGGAGGGGGAACAGGAAAGTACACTGAGGACAGCCTGCAGCTTTAATTCAGGCTTCTCTGAAAGCCCTCTACCAACTTCATTGCACGCTTTGCCCCAGGACGTGGCTGCCACAATTTCTCAAGATTTTGCTGGTGAGTGTGATTAGTGGAAAGGAGCCCATGAATTGTAGGGCTGCCCTGGTGCTCTCTGGCGATGTTTGCTTTCACTTTGCCTTTACCCCAGATCACAATCTGCGGTGTTCCTTGGCTAGGAGGTTATGCCAGTGACAATAAAATTGGCTTCTGGCTGGTTGTAGTGGCTCACACCTGCAATCTTAGCACTTTGGGAGGCTGAGGCAGGCGGATATCTTGAGGTGAGGAGTTTAAGACCAGCCTGGCCAACATGGCAAAACCCCGTCTCTACAAAAAATACAAAACTTAGCTGGGCGTGGTGGGGGCGGGGGCACCTGTAATCCCAGCCACTTGGGAGGCTGAGGCACAAGAATCACTTGAACCCTGGAGGCGGAGGTGGCAGTGAGCTGAGATCATGCCACTGCACTCCAGCATGGGTGACAGAGACTTTATCTCAAAAAAAAAAAAAATTAAACATAAAAAAAAGAAATTGTCTTCTCCTTCAGCAACACCTTCTTGCCACTGTGTAGTGTACAAGTGGGTATCTATGAGGATAGTTTCTGCTTCTCTCTAATAGGTAATACTATTTTATGGGTTTTTTAGGACTGAAATTATTTTGTGCAAAATTCATAGCCTGTGTGTATAGTTCCTAACATCTGCTCTAAATTTTCTTCAAATGTCATGGTATCTGTCTCAAATACTTTTTCATTTTTTTTGTAGACAGGGTCTTACCCTGTCACCCAGACTGTAGTGCCGTGGCATGATCGTAGCTCACTGCAGCCTTGAACTCCTGGACTCAAGTGATCCTCCAGCTTCAGCCTTCCAAGTAGATGGGACTACAGGCATGCATCACCACACTTGGCTAATGCTTTTAATTTTTAGTATACAAAAATACTAAAAATGTATGTATGGGCTACATTGTTCCTGGCCTCAAGAAATCTTCCTGCCTTGGCCTCCCAAAGGGCTGGGACTAAAGGACTGAGCCACCAGCCTCAAATTATTAATACCTCATATTTCAAGTTGTGTCCAATTTCATTGTTATAATGAAGCAGAAGTTTCCTCTTAACTTTATTATTTTTCTTGATTTCAGAGGGTTTCAAAAAAAGGAGTGTTGAATGAAAATGTCCTTATATTTAGTCATTTAAAAATATATTTCTTGAAGATGGCTGAATAGGAACAGCTCCACTCTGGAGCTGCCAGTGAGATCAACGCAGAAGGCAGGTGATTTCTGCATTTCCAACTGAGGTACCTGGCTCATCTCATTGGGACTGGTTAGACAGTGGGTGCAGCCCATGGAGGGTGAGCCGAAGCAGGGTGGGGCATTCCCTCACATGGGAAGCGCAAGGGGTTGGGGAACTCCATCCCCTAGCCAAGGGAAACCTTGAGGGACTGTGCCATGGGGAACTGTGGATTCCGGCCCAGATACTACGCTTTTCCCATGGTCTTTGCAACCCACAGACCAGGAGATTCCTTCGGGTGCCTATACCACCAGGGCCCTGGGTTTCAAGCACAAAACTGGGCAGACACCGAGCTAGCTGCAGGAGGTTTTTTTTCATATCCTAGTGGTGCCTAGAACACCAGTGAGAAAGAACCGTTCACTCCCCTGGAAAGAGGGCTGAAGCCAGGGAGCCAAGTTGTCTTGCTCAGCAGATCCCACCCCCATGGTGCCCAGCAAGCTAAGATCCGCTGGCTTGAAATTCCCGCTGCCAGCACAGCAGTATGAAGTTGACCTGGGATGCCAGCGCTTGGTGGGGGAAGGGGGGTCGCCATTACTGAGGCTTGAGTAGGTGGTTTTCCCCTCACAGTGTAAACAAAGCCATCAGGAAGTTCAAATGCGGCGGAGCCCACCACAGCTTGGCAAAGCTGCTGTGGCCAGACTGCCTCTCTAGATTCCTCCTCTCTGGGCAGAGCATTTCTGAAAGAAAGGCAGCAACCCCAGTCAGGGGCTTATAGATAAAACTCCCATCTCCCTGGAACAGAGCACCTGGGGAAAGGGGTGGCTGTGGGTGCAGCTTCAGCAGACTTAAACGTTCCTGCCTGCCGGCTCTGAAGAGAGCAGCGGATCTCCCAGCACAACACTTGAGCTCTGCTAAGGGACAGACTGCCTCCTCAAGTGGGTCCCTGACCCCCGTGCCTCCTGACCGGGAGATACCTCCTAGCAGGGGTTGACAGACACCTCACACAGGAGAGCTCCGGCTAGCATCTGATGGGTGCCCCTCTGGAACGAAGCTCCCGGAGGAAGGAACAGGCAGCAATCTTTGCTGTTCTGCAGCCTCTGCTGGTGATACCAAAAAAAACTGGGTCTGGAGTGGACCTCCAGCAAACTCCAGCAGACCTGCAGCAGAGGGACCTGTTTTTTCATTTGTTTGTTTGTTTGTTTGAGATGGAATGTCGCTCTGTTGCCAGGCTAGAGTGCAATGGCGTGATCTCAGCTCACTGCAACCTCCGCCTCCCAAGTTCAAGCGATTCTCTTGCCTCAGCCTCCCGAGTAGTTGGGATTACAGGCACATGCCACCACACACAGCTAATTTTTGTATTTTTAGTAGAGATGAGGTTTCACCATGTTGGCCAGGATGGTCTTGATCTCCTGACTTTGTGATCCACCTGCCTCAGGCTCCCAAAGTGCTGGGATTACAGGCATGAGCCACCGTGCCCAGCTGGGCCTGACTGTTAGAAGGAAAACTAACAGAAAGAAATAGCATCAACATCAACAAAAAGAACGTCCACACAAAAACTCCATCCAAAGGTCACCAACATCAAAGATCAAAGGTAGATAACTCCACAAAGATGAGGAAAAACTAGTGCAAAAAGGCTGAAAATTCCAAAAACCAGAATGCCTCTTCTCCTCCAAAGGATCACAACTCCTCGGCAGCAAGGGAACAAAACTGGACAGAGAATGAGTTTGATGAATTGACAGAAGTAGGCTTCAGAAGGTGGGTAACAACAAACTCTTCTGAGCAACAGGAGCATGTTCTAACCCAATGCAAGAAAGCTAAGAACCTTGAGAAAATGTTAGATGAATTGCTAACTAGAATAACCAGCTTAGAGAAGAACATAAATGACCTGATGGAGCTGAAAAACACAGCATGAGAACTTCGTGAAGCATACACAAGTATCAATAGCCAAATCAATCAAGTGGAAGAAAGGATATCAGAGATTGAAGGTCAACTTAATGAAATAAAGCATGAAGACAAGATTAGAGAAAAAAGAATGAAAAGGAATGAACAAAGCCTTCAAGAAATATGGGACTATGTGAAAAGACCAAACCTACCTTTGATTGGTGTACCTGAAAGTGATGGGAAGAATGGAACCAAGTTGGAAAACACTCTTCAGGATATTACCCAGGAGAACTTCCCCAATCTAGCAAGACAGGCGAACATTCAAATTCAGGAAATAAAGAGAACACCACAAAGATACTCCTCAAGAAGAGCAATCCCAAGATACATAATCGTCAGATTCACCAAGGTTGAAATGAAGGAAAGAATGTTAAGGGCAGTCAGAGAGAAAGGTCGGGTTACTCACAAAGGGAAGCCCATCAGACTAACAGCAGATCTCTCGGCAGAAACCCTACAAGCCAGAAGAGAGTGGGGCCAATATTCAACATTCTTAAATAAAAGAATTTTCAACTCAGAATTCCATATCCAGCCAAAGTAAGCTTCAAAAGCGAAGGAGAAATGAAATCCTTTACAGACAAGCAAATGCTGAGAGATTTTGTCACCACCTGGCCTGCCTTACAAGAGCTCCTGAAAGAACACTAAATATGGAAAGGAAAAACCGGTACCATCCACTGCAAAAACATGCCAAATTGTAAAGACCATCAACACTATGAAGAAACTTCATCAACTAATGGCCAAAATAACCAGCTAGCATCATAATGACAGGATCAAATGTACACATAACAATAGTAACCTTAAATGTAAATGGGCTTAATGCCCCAATTAAAACTTACAGACTGGCAAACTGGATAAAGAGTCAAGACCCATCGGTGTGCTGTATTCAGGAGACCCATCTCATGTGCAAAGACACACATAGGCTCAAAATAAAGGGATGGAGGAATATTTACGAAGCAAATGGAAAGCAAAAAAGAAAAAAAAGCAGGGGGTGCAATCCTAGTCTCTGATAAAACAGATTTTAAATGAACAAAGATCAAAAAAGACAAAGAAGGGCATTACATAATGGTAAAGGGATCAATGCAACAAGAAGAGCTAACTATCCTAAATATATATGCACCCAATACAGGAGCACCCAGATTCATAAAGCAAGTTCTTAGAGACTTACAAAGAGACTTAGACTCCCACACAATAATAGTGGGAGACTTTAACACCCCACTGTCAATATTAGATCATTGAGACAGAAAATTTACAAGGATATTGAGGACTTGAATTCAGCTCTGGACCAAGCGGATCTAATAGACAGCTACAGAACTCTCCACCCCAAATCAACAGAATATAATTTCTTCTCAGCACCACATTCCACTTATTCTAAAACTGACCACATAATTGGAAGTAAACACTCCTCAGCAAATGCAAAAGCATGGAAATCATAACAGTCTCTCAGACCACAGTGCAATCAAATTAAAACTCAGGATTAAGAAACGCACTCAAAACCACACAAATATATGGAAACTGAACAACCTGCTCCTGAATGACTACTGGGTAAATAACAAAATTAGGGCAGAACTAAATAAGTTATTTGAAACCAACAAGAACAAAGACACAACACACCAGAATCTCTGGGACACAGCTAAAGCAGTGTTTAGAGGGTAATTTATAGTACTAAATGCCCACAGGAGAATGCAGAAAAGATCTAAAATCAACACCATAACATCACAATTAAAAGGACTAGAGAAGCAAGAGCAAATAAATTCAAAAGCTAGCAGAAGACAAGAAATAACTAACATTAGAGCATAACTGAAGGAGATTAGAGACATGAAAAACCCTTCAAAAAATCAATGAATACAGGAGCTGGTTTTTTGAAAAGATCAACAAAATAGGTAGACTGTTATCCAGAATAATAAAGAAGAAAAGAGAGAAGAATCAAATAGACACAATATAAAATGATAAAGGGGACATCACCACTGATCCCACAGAAATACAAACTACCATCAGAGAATACTATAAACACCTCTATGCAAATAAACTAGAAATTCTAGAAGAAATGGATAAATTCCTGGACACATACACCCTCCCAAGACTAAACCAGGAAGAAGTCAAATCCCTGAATAGACCAATAACAAGTTCTGAAATTGAGGCAGTAATACCTATCAACCAAAAAAGTCCAGGACCAGATGGATTCACAGCCGAATTCTACCAGAGGTACAAAGAGGAGCTGGTACCATTCCTTCTGAAACTATTCCAAGCAAGAGAAAAAGAAGGAATCCTCCTTAACTCATTTTATGAGGCCAGCATCATCCTGATACCAAAACTTGGTGAGACACAACAAAAAAAGACAATTTTAGGCCAATATCCCTGATGAACATCGATGTGAAAATCCTCAATAACATCCTGGCAAACCAAATCCAGTAGCACATCAAAAAGCTTATCCACCACGATCAAGTCGGCTTCATCCCTGGGATGCAAGGCTGGTTCAACATACACAAATCAATAAATATAATCCATCACATAAACAGAACCAATGACAAAACCCACATGATTATCTCAACAGATGCAGAAAGGGCCTTCGATAAAAATCAACACCCCTTCATGCTAAAAACTCTCAATAAACTAGGTACTGATTGAACGTATCTCAAAATAATAACAAAATAATAACAGCCATTTATGACAAACCCACAGCCAATATCATACTGAATGGGCAAAAGCATTCCCTTTGAAAACTGGCACAAGACAAGGATGCCCTCTCTCACCACTTCTTTTCAACATAGTGTTGGAAGTTCTGGCCAGGGCAATCAGGCAAGAGAAAGAAATCAAGAGTATTCAAACAGGAAGAGAGTAAGTCAAATTATCTGTTTGCAGATGACATGATTGTATATTTAGAAAACCCCACTGTCTCAGCCCAAAATCTCCTTAAGCTCATAAGCAACTTCAGCAAAGTCTCAGGGTACAAAATCAATGTGCAAAAATCACAAGCATTCCTATATACCAATAATAGACAAACAGCCAAATCATGAGTGAACTCCCATTCACAATTGCTACAAAGAGAATAAAATACCTAGGAATACAACTTACAAGAGATGTGAGGGACCTCAAGGAGAGCTATAAACCACTGCTCAAGGAAACAAGAGAGGACACAAAGAAATGGAAAAACTTTCCATGATCATGGATAGGAAGAATGAATATCATGAAAATGGACATACTGCCCAAAGTAATTTGTAGATTCAATGCTATCCCCATCAAGCTGCCACTGACTTTCTTCATAGAATTAGAAAAAACTACTTTAAATTTCATATGGAACCAAAAAAATGCCCGTATAGCCAAGACAATCGTCAGCAAAAAGAACAAAGCTGGAGGCATCACACTACCTGACTTCGAACTATACTGCAAGACCACTGTACCCAAAACAGCAATGGGGAAAGGATTCCCTATTTAATAAATAGTGCTGGGAAAACTGGCTAGCCATATGCAGAAAACTGAAAATGGACCCCTTCCTTATGCCTTATACAAAAATTAACTAAAGATGGATTAAAGACTTAAGTAAGTCCTAAAACAATAAAAACCCTAGAAGAAAACCTAGGCAATACCATTCAGGACATAGGCATGCGCAAAGACTTCATGACTAAAACACCAAAAGCAATGGAAACAAAAGCCATAATTGACAAATGGGATCTCATTAAACTAAAGAGCTGTTGCACAGCAAAAGAAACTATCATCAGAGTAAACAGGCAACCTACAGAATGGTTGAAAAATTTTGCAATCTATCCATCTGACAAAGGGCTAATATGCAGAATCTATAAGGAACTTAAACAAATGTAAAAGAAAACAACAACCCCCTCCAAAAGTGGGCAAAGGATATGAACAGAATTACCATAAACAATATATTCCCCAATTATGTGACCATGTAAATAATGTATGAAAGAAGCTTAATGAAAAATACACATATAAACAAAGGCTGTTTCACTGTCTGCTGATGCTTAATAAGCCATCCCAAAGCTTCATGGCTGCAGCCTTTTGTTCTGGTTTTTTTTTTTTTTTGAGATGGAGTTTCGCTTTTGTCTCCCTGGCTGGAGTACAATGGCGCAATCTCAGCTCACTGCAACCTCCGCCTCCCGTGTTCAAGCAATTCTCCTGCCTCAGCCTCCTGAGTAGCTGGAATTACAGGCACCTACCACCACGTCCAGCTAATTTTTGTGTGTGTTTTATTTTAGTGGAGAGAGGGTTTCACCATGTTGGTCAGGCTGGTCTTGAACTCCTGACCTCAGGTGATCTGCCCGCCTCGGCCTCCCAAGGTGCTGGGATTACAGGCATGAGCCACCATGCCCGGCTGGCTGCAGCCTTTTGATTGTTTGTGATTCAGTGTGCAGGAACTCAAGAGGGCTCAGAGGACAGTTCCTCTCTGCTCCCGGTGGTGATGGCCAAGGCGGACTGACTGGGGCAGTGGGGCCAAGATGGCCTCCCTCACAGGTCTGGTGCTGGGTGCTGGATGCACCTCAGTTCTCCTCCACGTGGCCATTCTCCAGCTAAGCGTTCTGACATTGTTCATTAGTCTAGACGATGCTTCTTTACGTGGTGGCTGCTTCCAAGGTGGCAAAACAAAAGCCACAAAGCATCCTAAGGCCTTGGCCTGGAAGCTGTCCAGTTCACTTCCTCCGCACGCATTGGCGACAGGATCAGCCCAAATTCAAACAAAGGGGAAACAGACTCTCCCCCTTATGGGAGGGGTGGTAGAGTCACACTGCAAAAGGACACGCAGGATGGGAGGGGTTACCGTAGCCATCTCTAGAAAAAAATCTACCACAAAGAGCTATCTTGTGATAACTCTAATGTCAGCTGATTGTTTCAATATAGCAATGAAGTTATTATTCTTGTCTCTAATATAAACATTGCTTCAGCTTGCAGTTTTTAATTAAGCTCCATCTATCTTTAACATCGTGCAGTGACAGGTTTAAATGAGGGCAAAAATAACTCACGACGCATACACCTGGGATATGGGAGCTCACTTTCAGGTCACTCTAATCTAACGAATGCTCTAACTGGCCCAATACCACTGCTGTCACAACGTACTTCCCAGAAGTGGTTGTTTCCTGGAGCGTGCCAAGCCACCTACTTCAGCCAGGTGTTTCCAATTATCTTCTGTCGCTCGGATACCTGGGTAAGCCATTCTAGAATTAGTTCCTGGCCCAGTAGGAACAACATAAAAGCTCTGGGCATGCAGGAGGAAGTTTCTTTACACTCATGACCACCTGATCCTTCATCTCCATGCTCTTGGCTCCTGACTGTGCTACCTAAATCTGTTCCTGGGAAGCCATTATGACCTTTCTATGACCTTATTCTTCAAGCTAGTCATCCTGAGCACCTGATTCTGCCTCTTGGTCTAACTCTGACCTTGGGAATTTAACCTCTGAACTGATTCTAGGCCCACTAGGTTTCTTGGTTGAAGTGTTGACAATCACTGTTACCAGAAAATATCAACTTATGGACATCACAGTGCGTGCATTAAGGTGGATGTAGACAGGACTTTCAGGATTATTCTAAAACAGCACTGCCCAATAGAAATATAATGTGAGCCACACGTAATATAAAATTTTCTATCAGTTGCATTGAAAAAGTAAAAAGAAAAGGTGAAGCTAAATTTGATGTTTCATTTAATCGAATATATCCAGTATGTTACCATTTCAATACAAAATATGATTGAGATATTTCACGTTCCTTTTCTATGTACCAAGACTTTGAAGTGTAGCCTGTCTTTTGTCCTCACAGGACATCTCCACTCAGAAGAGGCACAATTTGAGTGCTCAGCAGACACACAAGGCTGTGGCTACCACGCTGGGCTGCGTGGGGCTACAGAGCCAGCCTTATGTTCAAGAGGGAGAAGGAACCTTGCTATGTGACACCCTACTCTAATCCTGTTTGCTTATCCTGCTAAAACTCTCTGCCGGGGCTTCTTGGAGAAGGCCTCCTCATTTTCTCCACAGCACGGCTGGAGGAATAATGGCCCCTCCTCCCTTCTTGGTCATTATCTCCACCTCCTGACTTCTTCAGTAGTGATTTCATCAGCGATGACAACTGGGAGAGAGTGAGTGTTTGAAAAGTAGCACAACTAGCTCCTAATTTACAGGCACTTGACGTTTGAATGCCTGCCTGCCTCATCCATCCACAAATGGGCACTCATACCACACTCTCTCCCCAATTGGAATACCTGGGAGTAAACACCTGAGAAACCCTCTGGAGTTTGGTGAAATGTAGTGCTGCAGAGGGGGTAGGTGTTCTCAAACGTTAGCGTGCATTAGAATCATCTGTCAGGCTAGAAGTGTGCACTGCAATCCTCTGGAAGATTAGAACGCAGGCTGCTGGCCCCCTTGAGGCCTGGAGCTACAGATTCAATAGGCCTGGGTGGAGCTGGAGAATGTGCAAGTTCCAGGGTGAAGCAGGAGGCTGCTGATCTGGGAAGCGCGCTGAGAAACTCTGTGTCTAGAGCTTGGGCTGGGAATCAGAAACCCGCGTCTAAGCTCCAGCCCCACTATTCACTGGGTGACTTCTGGATTACAGGCGCGGTGGCTCACGCCTGTAATCCCAGCACTTTGGGAAGCCAAGGCAGGTGGATCACCCGAGGTCAGGAGTTAGAGACCAGCCTTTTCTCAAAAAATAATAATAATCCCTACCTCAGGGGGCTGTTTTATGTATTTATTATTTTTGACACGGAGTCTCACTGTGTCGCCCAGGCTGGAGTGTAGTGGCACGATCTCAGCTCACTGCAACCTCTGCCTCCCGGGTTCAAGTGATTCTCACGCCTCAGCCTCTAGAGTAGCTGGGACTACAGGTGTGCGCCACCACGCCCGGCTAATTTTTTCATCAGGATGATGACAATGATGATTACGTATCTTGAGGGAGTTACTGGTGCCCAGGAGAATGTGTAGTTCATCTCCACAACCAAACTCTTGCACCCATAAATAGCATGGGGAAGGAAGACTGATAGGGTGGAGTGAATTAAATCCTGATTATGTTAGTCACAGCCACAGAATTTAATAGCTGGAAGGGGCCTTAGAGGTGTTGTCATTCAATTCCACAAATGTTAAAGATGAAGCAGCTGAAACTGGAGAGATTAAATGGTTCACCTGAAGTCATACACCTGCTAAGTGTTAGAGCTGGGGCTGGAACCTCAACTCCCTTTCCTGTATTCTTGCGACTGCATGATGCTCTTGTGCATTCTCCTAATGGCTGTGTGTAGAATACATTTTCTTGTTGAAACTCAATTCTACGTGCTGGTTACAAATAGCTGTGTGGACTTTTGTGAGCTAACCTGGGGACCTGACCAGACAAGAAATGAATGTTTACAGTGTGCCTGCTAGTTGCTGGGCACTGTGCTAGAGTCTGGCGATAGACCACGTAGGAACAGACAGGGAAGACACTGTGCCTGGCCTACGTGCTTTAAACATTTATATAGGAAAAAGCGTTTTAAAAGTCCAAATCTGATTTAAGAAATAACTTTTGGGACAGAGGCTTCAGGTAGTTATCAGGGAACTATCAGGTATGGCTCCTTTCTAAAACCTTCCTCCTAATAAGACTGTCCCCACACACTGCTCTTGATGAAGGAGTGAGTCAAGCCAGGTGTATTTAAACCAGGTGATGTGTCCCTGTGCCTACTGCGCCCCAGCCCCCCACCCCCCAACACCCTTCGGTTTCCATGGATGGAGACCTAACATATTCTGGGCCAATGGGAATGTCAAAGACATTTGCAGTAAGAGACCCAGAGGCAGAAACAGCAGGAAAGGGCTGAGCACCCAGGCGTGAGACTGTCACCGGGGCGGAGCCAGCTGGAGAGACTGGGAGGCATGAAGACCTGTGTGGGCAGCAGAGTGGGAAAGGGAGCCCACGAGGAGGGAGGGAGTGAGGGAGATGTGCAGACACAGAGGAAAGCAGATCCTCCTTTCCCATTCCTGCGAGGTGCCCTGAGGCTCCTTACAAAAAATCCCGTTTTCCATGAATTTCTTTGAGTTGGTTTCTGCTCCTTTAGCAAACAAGTTTGGATAAAGAGCAAATAGGACTTCTGGACCACGAGTATATGGGACCAGTTGTGTATCAGCTCTGTATTCAGTGGTAAGAAGGGAGCTCCAGGGGGGATAAGTCACCACCTGTTGACCTCAGTATCCAGTGGGGAAGATGGCCACTTGCCCAGCCAGCCACTAAAATGATGGGAGAGGGGCCAGTGTGAAAGGAGCTGTGGGAACACAGAGGAGACAACCCAGTACACCAGAGGAGGAGGAGTACTCAGGGTCCTCATGAGGGTGTCATCAACCCATGGCCCCCGCAGTCCCCACCGCCGAGGACCGCCCACCCTTGAGCGCCTCTAAAGATGGCAGGCTGGGACATGCACCGTCTTTGTAACTGGGAACCTAGTGTCCTATGCAACTTGTTGGTTAAAACTCATTTCAAATGTGTTTCCCCAGTGTCTTCATTCACAAAAATCTAGATGTCAAGTTAAAAGTCACTCTTCCACTCAGTACTCTGAAAAACATGCTGAATATAATTAGATTTAATCATTCTTCTTTTAATTTTTGTTTGCTAATCTGAGAATGTCCCACTATGAGGAGTATCTGAGCTTTGTTCTTTCGGGTGGTCCAATTGCTCTTACTAACTTGACCTCACCCGGGACTGGGATGGTCTGTTGGCATAATGATTTCCCAGATGCTGACTCTGCAATGTCCTGGATCAACACAGATGAAAAGGGAAGCCAGTTGTATTTAAGAAAACAATGATTGTAACTGTAACATTTGAGTGTAGTGATAAAGGAGGAAAGAAATTCTACTACATACATGCAAAGAGTCATCTAGAGAAACCTCCCCTTCCATGGAAGGGCCTGTCCACATGACTGAAAATTAAACAAAAGGCCCCCTGTGTTCTCCAAGATTCAGAATAAAAATCAAGAGCGTACCTTGAAGTTCAATTATTTTAAAAACACATTATAGATGATCAAGGGAGTTTTTAAAAAATTAAGTCTACTTAATTCTAGATGAAATCTGGAAAAACAAGTAGAAAAAGCCTACAATGAATTAACACTTTTAAAGTATTTAACTTATCGAGTATTTGAAAACTCTAAAATATCCAAAAGATAATTTAAAAAATCTGTGAGAAACTTAAATTATCAGGTACTGAGAATGAACATTTATTTTTTGGTGACTAAAATTCTCAGTAGTCTGACAAGTTATCAACGGCTGCTCAAGACTGTTAACAAGAAAGCCTGTCTAATACTATACAGCACCATAAGTAATGTCATTTACGCCAGTGCTAAAGGTCGAGTTCTGAGGAGCAAGCTTTTCTGTTAATATAACACAGCATTTTTCACATGCATTTCATGTGAATGAACAATGTCTTCATTGTTTGCCTGAACACTAATTTAATGTTGTATTTTTTTTGCTTGTGTCAATGAGTGTCAAAATATTGTTCTTTTAATACATGAAAGTATTTGCATAGAGCTTTATTACTGATCTTCAGATGTTAGCCAGAGGCAAAATAAAACAGAGACGCTCCAGTTGGGAAATCTCGCTCACAATGAAAAGCAAGAGTCCTTAACATATTCTGCTCTCCTGCCAATTTTTCTTCCAAGTACACAATGATTTATTTACTCCATAATTGGTGAAATTAAAAGCAACACTGGAGACGAAAAAAAAACTATAGGAAACCCTTTCCCTAAAAATGAAACAGAGACTTTGCAAGGAGGAATACAAAAACTCTAAGAGGAAGTACTAAGATGTAAGATCTTAACGTGAATTAAAGGACAATCTGATATAAACCTGATTACAGAAAAAGCCGAGAAGCACAGTCTGTTTCAACCATGAAGTGAGAAACACAGAGGCAATTTTTATTAAGTTATGCCTTTCAGCATCATCTCATCATTAAATGCTCAATTGCTTATAACCGTCTGCATTTATTAAGAAAAATAAAGCCACCACATTTTCTGCCTCCACAAAGTTGAAGAGTCCATAACCAGGTATCGGATGTGGTTTTCAATTCTGTTTTTTCCCTCCCTAACACTAATTATCCTGCCATTTGGTACTGCCAAAAAAGACAAAATGCCCTTTCAGAGAGGCATGGGCTCCTGCTGACGGGTTACTCACGACGAAACTTCAGGGCTGTACCCGGGTTGTGGTCAGGAGTGAGCAGTCCCAGAGCTGGCTGCCAGGGCAGGCTGGTAAAGGCCATGCTCGCACGGCGAGCAACCCGACCAGCCTTTCAAGTCAAGTGTTGGCTTGTAGACATATAAGTTAATCAGCTATGAAATAACCACCACAATGTACTTATTGATCACACAGGGCTTATGATGAAACTCTTGGCCCAGGGAAGATTTGTGCTTCTTTCTTTCAGCCTCCAACCTAAGAGAAAGAGCACTTTGAGGTGGTGTTTACGAAAAGGCAGATGTTAACTTCATGATTTCAACCTTCCCTTCCTGGGGAGGATGAGAAACACGCTGGGTCTTCAAAATGAAGCCCGACACATTCGCGTCCCTGTTCATTTTTTACAGAACTTGACATTTTCAGTGTATTGTGGTTATTATTAAGGAAGAGTATTTAGAAAGTTTCAAACTGATAAATTTTAAATGTGTTACCCTAATTTCTTTGCTTCGAGACATTAGGGAATGCTGATCATTTTGTTTATAAATCAATAATATCAAAGAATAGCAATTGAATGTTTGCTCCAAAAATCAAAACCATGTTTTAGAAAGCTGGTAGTTTTAAAGTGCTAGTGTATGTACAAGCAGAATGTTTAGTGTACTTTTACTGCTCTTGAAAATGAGCTGGTAAATACATGTGGTAATTATACTTTCTGCTCAATCTTCGGTTCCCATTTCTACCAAATTCTTTCTAAGATCGCAAAGGGAAAGACAAGGTGGGTGAGGCTGACTGGTGCTGTGGACACGTGCGAAGATGCTGGCAGATGTGGGCCACGGGCCATCCAGAAACGTGAAAAGAAACCAGTGTCTTTTCCCACTAGGTCAGCCCCATTGCTCTGAGCTGTCTTCTAATGTGCATCTTCTTAACCAAAAATGAAAAAGAACAAATTCAGTTCTGATTTCAGTGAGAGGACTATGCAAAGGGGCTGAAGAACCAGTGACTTAGGTCTTCAAGGGAAGCATTCAGTAAGTCAATTCTCCAGGGGCATGGAGATAAAACCCCAGCGTCTCCCCAAGAGTAAACCTACTGGCAAGTGATAAATCCCCCACTTCCAGGGCGCTGCCCTTACTGTCTGGCGAGGCCACAGACTGCAGGTGGACAGACATTAAAAACCATGGTCAGTGTGAGAATGAACATGATGGATGGTATGACAATTATGCAACTGCTCCTTCCTCTTTTCTTTCACATAGATTGCCCTGTGTGTGACTGACTCCAGAATAAACAGATTTTTTAAAGATCTAGTATTTCTAACAGTAAAATGGATTTCCGGTTTGCCCAGGGGGAACAATGGGACATCCCAGTCATCATGGTGGCATGAAATCTAGAAAGCGGAAGAACCAGTTTCTCCATTGGTACGAATCTGTCTCCCACTCAGTAGCTCAGTTTGAAACTTTGCTAGGACCACTAGTGAAAGTAGTGAACATCCGCTCCTGAGAGTGAAGAGTGCTCCCTGTCTCCACACTGGGGGCACAGGTGGAGGGCTCCCTTGGAGGGAGCAGTGCCATTTGCTGAAGCTGCGATCCACTGGAGCTGAGGCACCCCCTCTTGGCAGGCACCCCTGCTAGTTTGGAGGGTCTGCAGGGGAAAGACAGAGCGGGCATTGTAGGCCTGCCTGCTGCTTGTCCGGTACATCTCCTCGTAGTGCTACTGAGGCTGGGGGTTAAGAGTGAAGGAGCGAAGAAAAAAAAAAGCTGTTTGTTTGAAATGATTTTGTTCCCAGCAGTAAAAACAGTGCTGGTAACTGAGAAGGCCTTTCTGTGATCACAAATGTACATTCATACAAGATGGGAGACAACTATTTAAAGCTGGGAATGTGCTGTGAGGGTGAATACGAAAACATGCACTCAAAACGGAGGCCCGTGTGTGGGATGTGAGAGCCGAGAGGTTCACAGAGGCAAGAGATGGAGGCTTTATGTGTTTCTTCATCTTTCCAAATGAATTATTTTTACAGGAAAATACTCGATGATAAAGGATAGTCTTAATATCATGTAGTGAAAAGAACTTGGACTGAAGTCCTAAAACGCTGGGCCCTGTCTGGAATAGGCTTGTCACTTTAGACAACTTACTCATTTCACCCTTGATTTTCTTACACAGGTTATAGGGTTTTAGGTATCCCATCAGATAATATGTTAAAAGCACTCTGTGATCTACAAAATGTTATTGCTGTTATAAATGATAATATTATTGGAGAAAATCCTGGGTTAATGCCTAAGAGATCATCACCGCTCCGTAACGATCGTCAAGATATGATGTGATAATTCCATGGGGCTGTTATCATACCAAACATAAAAACGCTGCATTTTTCAGAGCATGAATTCTTTTTGAAAGATGAGTTTTAGAACTGAATCTGGGGTTTCAACATTTCCGTTCTAAAGAATTTCTGATTCCTTGCCCAAAATCGTTTGGTTATATTTAAGTTCTGAAAGAACACAAAAATCCTGGCAATTTATATGTTTGTCTCAACATGCGGGTTTTTGCAATTTCAAGAAAATAAATTTGTATTATATAGGTAGATAGTTCAGAGGAGCTGTCTTTTTTTCTGAGTAGGGAGCTTCATGAATTATTGTTAAATAGTGTTCCTTTAATAGTGTTGCTAAATAGTAAACAGCTGTGGGCACATTTTTTTCCCCCCAGTGTGACTTCTCAATGAGGAAGAAACCTTAACTGACAGGAGTGATCAGAAGATTTAAACAATTTAAATCTTTTAAAAAACAAAACTAAACCAAAAAGAAAAAAAAAATTTACAACAGATCAGTTAACTGGAGATTGTGCTTTTTGGAACCGGATTCTAACTTAAGCATGGTAGCAATTCTAATGCTATCTTTTATTCAACACCATTTTCCTAATTATCTTGGTCTAAATGTTTCCAAACTTTGTTGTTTATTTTGGCATAAAGAGTTCCCAAGGCCACCGCCTCTTTTCCTAGAGCTGGGGATGGTGTTAACAAGAAGGTGAGATGGGAACACAACCCATTAACAAGCACTGAGAAGGCTGTGGTCTGAAAAACCCCTCGAGCAGATAAGAAGGCGCTAGGCAAGAGTGAGCCCAGGAAGAGAGCAAGGCAGAGCCCCCACAAAAATATTCATTCGCATTGTTTCAGTGAAGATAATCAGAAGGATTTCCCTCAGGTTTCTTATAAATAACATTCATTTCATTGTCTAATTTTACAGATGGAGAAACTGAGACATGCTTGGAGGACTGACCTGCAACAGGGTCACGCGGCGGCTGAGCAGGAACAGAAGGCAAATTTCCTGGTCCCTGGGCCAGTTTTCCACCCAATCTACCCCGTCTAAATGAAACGGCAGAAGCTTAGTTTTGATAAGCAGTTCCATGAAAACATGTCCTGTGCCAGATTCTCGCTGGTGCCCGAGACACTCCCCGATGGAGGGTTAGGGCTCGGAGCCCTTTAACTCCTTCGGCACAGTGGAGAAAGGTTTAGGAAATAGCAGAACAAACGCAAAGGCCTTGAGAAGGCCCTTGCGAGACTCAGCCCAGGACTCTTCTCTCTGTCCTATCTTCAGCCCTAAAGCAAAGGGCTGAGGATGTAAGAAGGCTTTCACCTGGGTCCTTCGAAACATGCCTGGTGCCTTTATTAACTCCTCTACTTCAGAAATCAGCTGCAAACGTCCTCTCTCCCAGTGGGCAGAGCGGCTGCACTATATGAAAACGACACATGTGAAATGGAGGGTGGGTATGTGAAGCTCAGGATGATTCATGGATTCGCTGCCCGTCTGTTTAAATGTAATACTCTTTCAGTGCATCAAGATACCTGATGCCATGATTAATTTTTGTGTGTGGCACAGAAGCAAGGAGAAGTTAGCTAATTTAAGCTGATGTGCATTGAGTCACTGGAAATTGGACAGGAGCAAAGACCACAGAACTTTCGAGGCAGCAGATTCATTTGGGCTTCAGGAAACGCGGTGCATGAGCTGTTTCAGGTGCTGGGGAAAGGCTCTGCGTTAGAACCCACACCTTCCGTCTCCCGGGCCAGGTCTCTTTGTAGGCCACCACGGAGAGAGAAAAGCATCTTGAGAATCCTAATGGGAACCAATGAAGAAATGAGTATCATATTTATATATCTGCTATAACTCACTTTCTAATGAACAAAGTCGCTTACTTTGAAAAGTGATTTCTCTCTTGTGTATGGCTCGGGAGGAGGGTCTAAGGTGGGCCTCGCTACTCCAGTGCCTCCGGAGCCCAGGGAAGCTCACCTCAGGCAGCCTGCAGAGGCTCTCCCCTTCTAGAAGGCCCAGCAAGCGCCCCGTTTCCCACAGACGGTTCCCACCTGGGGATGTTGAACCAGTCTCACCAGATCTGCTTACACGGAGGAGCTGCACATCGAACATGCTAAAAACTGCGTTATGTTTTTTAAAAACCCAACAAACTCTAAAATGTTAGCTGTGGGCTGAAACACTGACTGGACTAAACAAAGCCTGGCAATGGGCCAGATCTGGTCAGCTAGGTCTCCCAGCTCAGCAATCTGGCTTAAAGGAGCACCGGGTAAGGGTTCTTTATTTCCTGCTGAATCTGACTTAAGTGTAAAATCGAGCAGGGATCCCCAAACCTTCCTCTCACACCACAGCTGTAGGGCACACTGAACTTTATTCTGTTCAGTAGAAAATGAAATGAACAAACTATAAAATGTAGCTCCTTAGATTTGTTTATAATACAGATTCAATATTTAATAATACTTTTGTTTTCCTAGTTTTCTGAAATTCTTCATATACGAAATGTAAACCACAAAGGGAATATGATTTTAAAACCGGAAACATATTTTCCACCCACCACCCCCCCAAATTTCATTAAACGCATAAAAGAAAATATCCTTTGTAAAATGGCTAATTACAAAATAATTAGTCACAGAGGTCCTGTATAACAGAAACGACAACAACTCTTAAGTTTCAGTCATCAAGAATCAAGGAACTTATTATTTGGGAAATAAAAATACCAGTTCACCTTAAAGTAAATTTTGGGTTAAAAGGAAAAAAAGATGGCCAAGCAAAGTCAAGTTATTACTTCAACCTTATGCCCTGTCCATCTTTTCAAATGTACTTCAGATAAAAACAAGCAACAAGAGCAGAATGTGCTATTGGTGGCCCTCCCTTGAATTCTTCTCTGAGCTGCCACCACTCCCGAGTCTCCCAGACTGACCTCTGAGTCAAGCCAGATGGGACTGAGAGAGATGTTAAGCAAGTGCTGAAAAGGTGACTTGAGTCTCTGGCAGCCGAGTCTGGAGCGAGTTTCTCTGCAAATTCTCTGGGGGTTGTTGCTTTCCAATTTCTCAGGAATGTTTAATTCTCCTCATCCCTTCACTGAATCTCTCTCTGGAGAGGTCAGGGAAGCCTGTGACATCCCCGGAGGGCACTGCCTAACTAAATTAGCATGAGATAACTTTGGACTCTCTCCCAAACATGAAAATACAAGGGAGAGAGTTTCATTAAAAACAGAATACTAGGTGATCCCAGTTAATCCCGGCTCTAAGCTGCTGTAGAATTGCTCAGTGTTTACATTTTGACTCTCTTCTCGGTGACAGTTCACCGACTATACTGCCAGCTATGTTATGCATACAGCTTGCCCTCAGCTGACCAAACCCTAGTTTCATAATAAAGGTAAAAAGTGGGTCTGGTGGTGTTAAAATAGGTATTTAGCCTGTATATGTTACTATATGAAGCAGAAGATCCAGAGGTAAAAATAAACATTTCAGTACTGAGGCCTTTAAATATCTTTTAAATCAGGAAACAGGAAACCTTAATAGGTAACATGAGTCATTAACCATATGAATGTGTGTAAACAGGGGAATATCTAATGTCACTTCAGTAAAGCATACAATGTCATAGAGACATGCTTTCTATTATATCCACAAATATTTGAAAGAATACATTGTAAATATTTAGAACGACAGTATAATCAATAGGATATGTTCAAAAAGTGCAAGGATGATGATTTCAGCATTTGCTTCTAAAAATTTAATTGGAAGAACAGCTCCAAAAAAGGGATCAATATTGCCAGCTACTACCAATATATGACAGATAAGATACTGAAGAATTCAAACTTGGGTACATACCTTAGAACTCCTGCTTCAACCAAGGAGGTACTACGTTTACTCATTCCTTCATGAATAAATGTTTCTTGTTAGTCACTGTCACATAATATACAGGTTGAGTACCCCAATCCAAAAATCTGAAATCTGAAATGTTCCAAAATCTGAACTTTTTGAGTGCTGACTTAACGTCCAAAGGACATGCTCATTGGAGCATTTCTGTTTTTGGATTTGGGATGTTCGACCAGTAAGTATAATGCAGATACTCCAAAACCCAAAACATTTCTGTTCCCAAGCATTTCAGATAAGGAATACTCAATCTATATATTTTGCTTTGATTTAAACATGTTTTTGTATCTTTTGAATATTCATAATTTGTAAAAACTGGCACTTCACAACTCCTATTTAACTACTGACATTTTACAGACTAAAAGAGTTATGCTTATATTTCTCATTTTTTGTGTGCTTATTCATTTTGAGTTCCTTTTAATATTCCTTCAATATTGTAAGAGATAAAAGATACAGAATAATATGCCCAGGAGAGGAAATAACAGCTTACTCTGTCTGATTATACTATATTCTACAGAGAGAAAAGTACTCAGTGATAAAAAATTATTCACTAGTATATTATAATTTAAGTTAGGTTATCTACTGATGTAATTCGTTCCTAGAAAAGTCCTTTATTTTGACTTGGTGATTCTGTGTGATCGACTTTCACTCAAGCTTCACGACAATAACTGACACTAATAGAACTGGGTTTACGGAGATAAAGAGGAAGCGGATCCTTCTCCCAGAAGCAACCAGTGTAACAGAAGGTATGCAGTCTAACTTGTGAGTAAACAGAATTCTGGAATGTCCAATACTGGGGTAACAAATTCTCTCAAAGCTGGAGGAAATAAAGAAAATGACACTTTAACCTGTGTCAAGCTACTTCTCAGCTAAAATCCAAGTTATATTCACACTGAAGCTATGAAAACACAAACAACCCAGGAAGCACAGGGATGGAATTGATTGGCATTCTGTAATTCCCTGCCTTCCCTTTTGCTAACCCCTCATGGGCATTTTCAAGGGGACTGGCAGGACTCAGTGAAATCCTCAGCCACTTAACGAGGCTATTAATTGGCCAGGAGGAAGACTGAAGCCCAAGCTTCGACCTCAATAGTTTAAAGCTCTAACAAACCAACATCAATTAGCACAGACACAAAATTTTGATATCCTTTAGGTAACACAGAGTTTAAATGTTTTTTATTTTTTATTTTTTTTTTTGAGACGGAGTCTTGCACTGTCACCCAGGCTGGAGTGCAGTGGCGTGATCTCCACAACCAAAAAATGCGTGATCTCTGCTCACTGCAACCTCCACCTCCCAGGTTCAAGTGATTCTCGTGCCTCAGCCTTCCAAGTAGCTGGGATTATGGGCGTGGACCACCAGGCCTGGCTAATTTTTGTATTTTTAGAGGAGATGGGGTTTTGCCATATTGGCCAGGCTGGTCCCAAACTCCTGACTCTAAGTGACCACCCGCCTCGGCCTCCCCGAGTGCTGGGATTACAGGTGTGAGCCACCGCACCCAGCCTAAATGTAACTTTCTAATGATTGATATCTTTTGTTATGAATGCTAACTAAAATCTTACAACATTTTGGGGTTCTCTGTTTAATTTTTAAAAGCACTTATTATTAACTTTACTTGAGTCATGGACTCCTTTGAGAATCTGATGAAAAATGAGGATATCTTCTTCCCTGAGAACTGCACACATGTGTGAGCCAACACACGAACACATTTTTACCTACGACTTGAGGAAATTCACAGACAGTTTTAGACCCTAGGTTAGGAAATTTGGATTTTCAGAGAGAAAGCCACAATTTCCAGTGATCTTTCACTCACTGATGCTTCAATTTTGCATGTGTTTACTGAAGACCACGCGTAAGGCACTGTACGTAAAGCTGTGTGGGACACAAGGAACTATCGAATCTTGTTGTGGCAGCGGAGAATCTGACCGTGGAGCACACATAGGGTGAAGCCACAGACACCATCAACGCGGCTGCTGCAGAGCGCCTCTGGGATGGCCGTTTCCTCCTTGGTGATTTGGAGTCCCTGCCATGACCCCACGGTGTGGGGAGTGAGACAATGAGAGTGAACAGTACTTGCTTTGTAAGTGGTAAACCACTGTGCAAGTGTTAGCTGTTGGTTTTATGAAGTCAAACTTGCTTTCCTGTTTTGAGAGCCAACCACTGAGTAGTAAACCAAAAATTTATACCAGGAAAGTGAAAGTGAGATGGCAGAAGATTAGTCAGAAACATCCAAAAGGGTCTTCTTAATGAGGATAGAAGATCACTTAATCAGGAGTCTGCATACCAAAAGCATCCAGTCAACTGTTCTGAAAAGGTATTTTAAAATGATGATCCAATAAGAAAGAAAACTGCCAAGGTAATAATTGAAGAGGCATTTGCCATTGCAGCATGGAGCTCTGACTGTGAGTTTATGAAAAGTGTTATTTAATTTCCATTTTCAGGCAGTCCCAGATATTTTTGATATATGTAAAATAATGAGCTATTCATGTCTTCATAGGATATATAAACAAACTAAAATTAAATAAATTAAATAAGTGAAATGTTTATAAGGCATAGTCACTTATTTCTTACACAGAATATGCTAAAATAGCCCCTCCCTGGTGTTAAAATATCAATATTCTTTTGGAGTGAAGCCATCTAAGCCTGAAAGTGTGATTAATCTGGAGCGTGTCAGCTTCCAGACAGTCAAACAAATCATATTCAGTTCCAGATGCATCCCACTGAGGATGGCTGTGCTGGGGGTTTCTTTGTCTTCTCTTCCTCCTCACTCTCTTCAACCTAACTTAGGATGCTGAAAGAAACCATGAGGAAGGCCTGGGCCTCAGACACACTCTGGTTTGAATCCCAGCTCTGCTACTTAATGACTGTGACGCTGGCAAGTCACCTCCGCTGTAAAATTATGATAACAATGCCTCCTTTGCAGGCCCAAACAAAATGCACAAGAAAAGGAGTGTGAAGTGCCTGGAACGGTGCCAAGCAAATAGTAGTGAGTCAATACAATGGTGGCTACAATAGTGTGCACTGATGATGCCATTTCCTCTGAGTAAATTGGATGCATGCATCCTACAGCTACACAGCACTGTCTGTTTTGCAAAACACCTTCATGCAGATGTCATTTGTTCCTCATGACACATTTCTGAGTTTTGTGCAAATCTTACTGTAACCTGTGAGATGTTCGCTGATCTGTCAAAGTCACACAGTGCAGAAATAAGAAGTGGTCCAACTGAAAGCTGGAGTTTGACAATATCTGATATGTCCAGCCAGAAAAGCATCCTACGTTATCAGCATCTATTGGTACAGTATGATGCTTAAGCTCAGCTCTATGAATACTGTAAAAATCCAAGAAGGGGAAGAAGAGAAGAGCTATCTGAGAAACACGAACATATATCTAGGAGGCAATCAGTCTCAGGAGAAACTTTAGAGTCTAAGAAAGAAAAGGAAGAGCAGGCAAAGAAGGTTTTTGTGTAATTTCCAACAGCAATAGAAAGAACAGCCCTGTGAGCGGAAACCTGTAGCCTTACTGAGGTCTGGGCTTACAGGGACTAGAAGAATGATATTTATGAAAACAGTACAATAATGTGTCCAAGTATACACTGCCCTTTTGTAATCTCCAAAATCTCATGCTATTTTCAGTTACTGTTACAAGGAAAATGAAGAAGGAGACAATGAATTGAAGACCATAATCAAAATCCAATGCATGAGCTCTCTCTTTTTTAACCCCTGAGGGTAGGACAAGGAAGGAATATGCTAAAGAAAAGAAAAAACATGTTTCTTATAATTGGAAAGTGCTTGTAGTATGTGTGGAGAAATTCTGATGCACATAATTTCCTGAGTCCTTTCTTTTAATCCCCAGAGAAAAACATGGCATACCCCCTCCATTTGAATCTGCACATAAAGAGAAAAGGCAAGTTTCAAATCCAAAAGGGGCCATTAAAGGATTTCACTGGGTACTGGAACTGCATCCAACAATGGTTAGACATTTTACAAATTCTACTTATTTCTTCAATTAAAGTAAAAAACGCTTGAACAGAGATGCAGAGGTCATCCACTGAAGTTTGGGGTGCAACATCATCTGCCATCATGTGCTGGATTATCTAGACTAGCAAAGCACGGGGGAGTATACGTTCGTGGGGACTGGCATATAAGAACTTTGAAAACCAGCTGATGACTGCAGACGAAGCCTGGCTGAAAAACTGGTCAGGGTTCGTGATGACACCAAACGTAAAAAACAAAAACAAGCATGGACTCAGGGTCGCTTCGCTTCCTCTCCACTGTTCTGTAGGTGGTGGCTTGTCAGCAACAACTAGTTTCTAGAAAGAGAGTTTTATTGAAAATACTACCTCTGTGTTCCTGTTTAATATTCCTCATGCTTAAGCTGAAATGGATGTTTCAGAGCAAAATAGCAGTTAACTGTCATTAGCTGGAACCAATATTGTAAAATCATATTCTTACTTTGTGAATGACAGAGCCTGCTAATCCCTATTTGCAAACATGAGGCTCAAATGGCAGGGTTAAAGCAAACTGCAAGGACAGAGGAGGCTCTTGGCAAGGAGGGTTTAGACTAACTCACTGGATGATGAAAAAAGGCAGCAGAAATTCAAGGGGAAAAACAGAGCATGGCCTTTACATTTTATATGCATTCAAGGCAGTTAGAAAATGCACAGAGGGTCCTCTTTTTTTTTTTTTTTTAACTTTAAGAGAAGTCTACTATTTGAGAGCAATATCTATATTATTTGGGTTCTCCAAGGTCTTTCTCAATAGTTATGATATTCCTTGAAAGTAACAGCATTTACTGAATAATTCTCTAAATACAACTCTCTTCTCTTAACAAGGTTATTAACGAAAGCTCTGACCACTGCTTAGAATGTTTAGCGCTCAGCAATGTTGAAGTGTTAGGCATGAAATACATGTTGGTGCTAAATCGTTTCACAAAGTGGTTGGGGATGCCTGGGGACTACAACCTGCAGAGTGACACTCATGGAGGAAGAGGGCTGCCCTTGGGCAGGTGCGTGCACATCGGAGGGAAATCTGAGCACGTGTGGTGTGACAGCTTCACAGTGGGCCAGAGAAGGGCTCGACTGGCTCGGAAACAGGCCTGTGCTGAGCAGCATCGATGGCTGTCAGATGGACTGGCCCAGTTCTCCTTGGGGAGTGTCTGACACAGGAATTCTAACCGTTTCACTCCTCTTGAGAGGATTTGCAAGGAAGAAACTACCGTGGAGGTAATTATATCTTATTCCAAGAAGGAAAGAGTTAATCAAGATTTCAGTCTCCTTGGGAAGCACCCAGGAGAGTTTCACATGAAAGGGTGTAGACTTGTTTTTAAGAAATATCAAATCCATTAACAGTTTATGAGTATCTCAGACTTCAAACATTTACTATTGGGTCAAAAGTTCAAACCACTATACACTGTACATTTTTGAAAAACAGGAACTAAACTGAATTTTGAGTAGTAGCTTTAATTTAAAGCACAGAAATGACAAACTATTTGAAGCCAAACATGACGTACAAAAATTAATTGAAGAAAATCTTGAAAGAAGAAAGTGATGACCATTGTTGCTCCTTAAAAAATTCCCAAAGAGTGCTGACTATATCAGAGGCAAGGCCTTATAAATAAATGAATCAAAACCATAAGAATTCTACTTCCCTCATCTCTTTTCTTAGCTGTAATGTTCATATAAACATAGCTGCAGAATAAAGGACAGTATATTATCTGGTGTGGAGAGATGTACTGTCTTCGTAACTCACTTGTGCCTCATCACTCACATGTCACAGGCTAACCACCCCCGCTGCGGAAATCACAGCATCTATCATAGGATCTTTCTGCATCTGTGGAGGACACTCAGAGCAATGAGTTGATATGAGATATGGAGTATATCCCACAAGGAAGAGGGGCAGGCTCTCAGATGAATTATGAGGGTCATTCCTTCACAGCTGCAGATAGTTTTCATATTTTATAAAGCAAAGCATGAGGCAATCTCTCACTGTGTTATTAAAGTGGATTAGGGCCCATCAGCATCCCCAAATGATGATTGTGTGTAAATGTGCAGACACACAGACAAACATGTACAAGAATGCACACACTCGTCCTTCTGTCTGTCTCACCAAATATCCAGGAAAGATGTTTCAGGCTACAGTCACATTGAAAACATATGTGCAGAAAGGCATGCTAACTCATGTTGGGGTGGAAACGACTTCACCTAAAGGAACAGCTTCCAAAACTCTCCTCTGTGGTTATAAAGAAGCAAACTTTCATCAGTCATCACTGCAGTCATCTGATTGAATCAGTGTGGCATGTAACTTCAGGGATCAGAAGACTGGAGATTGAGGAAAGGGAACTGAGTTTCAGAGAGCTGAAGGTGGGCAGTTCATCAGAGGCAAGGCCAGGCTGACTAGCGAGGAATGTCCATTCCAGGGGGAGTTGAAGGGGATGAGAAATTTCCAAGCGGAGCCTGCTCGATGGCCTCCTGTCTTTGGCTGATTCCGAAAGACAAGTCTGTTAGAGACAACAACTTAATAAAATCTGTAACAGCTAATATGATTGACAGGAAAAGTAATAATAAATCAAGGACCCAGGAATGAAGTTCTTCAGAAATACCAAGCCTTCTAGAGAAGAGATGGAGAATTATGCTAGCAAGCGCATGCATGGCTGAAGGTGGGGAGTTTTATGGACAACCTTGGTAAGACCCCACTACTCATCTTCTTTACTCATACAACATCTTCCTTTCTATCTGCATGGTATTTGGAGATACTGGAAGAGCCAAAACGATGCAAATATTAAAAGACAAACACTGCATAACCACCACCAATTCTACAGGGTGGCTGCTAGCTCAAAGGCATCTTTTGAGTGTCTTAGAGGAAGGTGCCTTTTCCTTTTACTCTGTTGAAAAACTCTATTAATATGTTGATTCTTACGATAAAACACTTTACTGTCACTTGCCAGAAAATTACCACAAGTATACAAATCAAAGATGTCTGTAAGAGTGGCACTCTCACTGGACATGATGTGCTTGGACCCACTATACTTTGAACCTTCCTTGACCTCATGTTTAGCAGGGGTCAAAACACATTACTTTGAAGCCTGTGTATATAGAGCGATTTGCAGCTGGCCTGATGCCCTGCTCCAGGGATCCAGGGATATAAAAAAGGCAGTGTTTTGCCAGATAGTTTCCATGTTGCTGTGAAATGCAATGAAAGTTTTTTGTTTTTCTTCTAGAAACTTCTGTGGCTTGGAGTTCAAAACACGGTTCTTTGAAATACAGAGAAATTATCCTACACTTTTTCAAAAATATGAGTAATAGATGGCTGTCTTTACATAATAGTTATTTTTTCTTCAAGTTCTCTAAATTCTCTAAAATGAACATTTATTCTTTTCTGTCTTTATTGTGAAAAAAGAAAAGTTTATTTTTGAGAAATAAAAAAAGGGAGATGGGAGGTATGTGGGGTTTTATGATAATATTCTACTGAGCAATACAATGGGTGTCCTGTCCCCTCCTGTGCTGTACTAGCACAACCTCTGCACTGCTACCGTCGTGGAATGACACGGGCAGCCAGCTGGACTCAGAGACTCAGTGCCTGCATCAACCTCCAACGAAAGCCGTGACCGTTCAGAATCCGGAGTTGACTATACACCAGGCTCAAGAAGACACAGAGTTTTCTCAACCATTCATGGGAGGGCAGTGAATAAAGACCATTTCTCTTTCCATCGAGTTTGGAAAGTCAGAGGACAGTTGCTGCCTCTCTTTGAACAAACGATGCAAAAATACATAGAATTTTCATTTAAGATTTCGTTAAATCTAAGGCATCGCCATTATTACGAAGAATTATGTCCCACACAGAATTTTTGGAATATTAAATCCTTGGTTTTCAAAAAATGGTCTGTGGGGCCAGGTGTGGTGGCTCACATCTGTAATCTCAGTGCTTTGGGGGGCCGAGGCATGGAGATCACTTGAGGCCAGGAGTTTGATACCAGCCTTGGCAACATGGCAAGACTCTGTCTCTACAGAAAAAAAAAAAAAAATTTAGCTGAGCATGGTGGCATGTACCTGTGGTCCCAGCTACTCAGGAGGATCACTCTGAGCCCAGGAGTTGGAGGCTGCAGTGAGCTATGATTGCACTATTGCACTCCAGCCTGGGCAACATAACAAGACCTTGTCCCTAAAAAAATTAAGGTCTGTGGGCATCACTTGAGAGTGAAATATGTGGACTGTTAGGCTCTGTTTCAGATTTACACCATCGAAACCTGCCTCTAAGTAAATTTTCAAAGCACTGATTTTGCTCCTTTCTATCTGGGCACTTAGCTTGCCTGCCCTGAAAGACCATTAAACAGGAAATGCGCAGATATACGGGTGAAGACTGACACTCTTCTCCCCCAAGATCTGCCAAGTCCTGGGGGGATGTGGCCCAAACCTCATCAACTAAGGAAGCAACAACAAGAGCATCTGTAGGTGGGGATCTGGCCAGAGGTCCCAGATGATAGATGAGGTGTTAGATAATCATGAGTGTGAAAACAAACGGCTTTAGACACTAATTCTAGGCACATTTTACCCTGTAAAATTTGGCATAATGATAATAAAGCCCCTCACTGATGAATGCCTACCGTGTGCCAGGCACCATATGGGCATGGGCCATACCCCTAATCCTCACGCCGGCAGTGAAACAGGTTACGTGGCTCCTGCTGGGTGGCAGAAGACATGGAGGGGAGACGCGCTGCTGCGCCTACATAGCACAGCTCCTAGGCAGCCTGGAGATCCTGTCCACTTCAAAGGTAATGTTCATTCCACTATTCCACACTGCTTCCTTAATGTTCATGTTGCTTCGGAGGATGTGTGATATTTTTTTAAATGTGGCAATTCTAGAAAGAAAACTAATCTGCTTATATTTTTATTTTATGTTATTTCTATATTTCTTCTTGATATACTTCCAGATTTACTGCTGAAGGCTGAAGTCACTTTATTTTGAAAAATTAAGAAAATACACACACACACCAGCTCCATCTGGAGACTCCATTTCAACAGTGTGTGTTACACCATCACTCTGAAAAGAGTTTCCCGAGATTGTAATGACATCAATATTTCTAGGAAAAAGGAGAATGTTGAACACGTCTCTGCTCCTGAAATGCAATTATGTGCATTCAGCAGGCATGTGTAGGGAATAGAACTAGAGTTTAAATTAGATGATCTTTGGATGAAATTCACATTTGTGGAACACTTTCTTCTTCGGGGGATGGAGGGATAGCAAGAGGGTATAAAGTACCTTCTCCATTATAAAATGCAAACTGTTCTCAGCAGACGGCTCACCATGAATAACGAACCAGGGAATTAAAAGCTTTAAACCTGTTAAAGAAGCAATATTAAGTTTGGTATAAATATAGCTGAAATAATCCAGACAGTTTTATGACCTTACACCCCAAATAAAGGTGAAATGCTGAATTCTTTCCCTAGAAATAGAGGTAAACACAGCTAACAGATGGAAGAGCTGAATGGAAATTTCAATAAAGAGGGCCACAAAGAAGCATTTGTAAGCTCAGGGGTGCACGCATTAAAAAAAGAAGCTGAAAAATGGAACTTTGTTTTATTTTGATAGAGTGCCAAAACAGTACTGCATTCCTTAAAGAGCTGAATAAAGGATCGAGTTAGACTGGCCTTCTCAACACCTCACGAAAAGCGCCCTTGGGTCTCATTTTGCTGGGATGACTATTTATATGACAGGTAAGGGAATAACTTTGCTGGATTCTGTTACACTAGGGCCTCTGTGACCCCTAGGTCAAAAGAGCAAATGCAAAAGTGACAATGTGGATAATTGCCTGTTTAGGATAATGGAATACTGATTGAAGTCAATTATTATAACACCTGAAAGATAAATGAGCTGATGTTAAAGGTTCAGTGGAGACAGCAGACGAGTGGAACGGCGGGCACTGTGCTGAGGAGTGGCCAAGGAACTGTGGAATTCAAGAGGAGGGGGCAGCCTTCCTGACCTGGAACTTACTCCAGCCTGGAGTGTTCCAAGATCTAAAATAGGTTAGTTTGTAAAACATGCCATAAAACAGAAATTTAGCCCAATGTCTCGAACTGCAGGATTAGAGTAACATTAGTTAACGTGGCCCTCCATTAATTTTCACTATAACCTCTGAAGGCCTAGACTTGCCCCAAATCCATTATTTTTGTCTGTCACTGGAGGGAACTTTCCCTTCCTGCCAGCCAGGAAAAAGCCTGCTGACGTTTGCAGCTCAGACCTCAAAGCTCGTCGACAGCAGCAGCCTGACCAGTGTGGGCCAGGACTGTACCAGCTCTGCAGTCAGAACTTGGCCCCTTGCATTTTCTTGTTTTTTTTTTCTCTTATAGCAGAAATACGCCTGAAAATGTTTTTCCAACCCCAACACCCCTGCTGCCCTCCTGGTTCAGGTTTCTTATTGCCGTGTCTGGCCCTTCAAAGGCCTACCCCATCATCTCGCAGTGCTGGCGTGGCCTCCCATGCTGATCCCTGGACCAGTCCTGGCTGGGGTGGGAGTGAGGAGGGAGCGCTCAAGTGGGGGTCTCAAGAGAAATGAGCTGTACTCTGTTTAGAAATCAGACCAGATGTGATCACCACCGTCCACATGCCTCTGGGTACGAGGACAGCCTTCCTCCAGCAGCCCTCTCAGGGTCATGCTGGAGGACTTTCTGTCCAAGGCTCCACTTACTGGAAACTTCAGAGGAGGGTCTTTCATCCCCTGATGCTCCCCTCTGAGCCCAGGCCCAGTTCTGACCATTCTAGCCCAGTCCCACTAACACAGCCTCCTGGCCGGGGGAAGTATCCTGCTTCTGGAGCTGGAAGTGCTCCTGTGGCATCCTGATGCATTTGCCAATGCCCAGGGTCACAGATCAGGTGAATTAACAGCCTGGGACTCTACCTGGGCCCTCTGCCTCCAACTGCCACCACAGATAAAGGTAACTGTGTGTGAATTGAGAAGCTTCTAGAGACAATGACTCTGGAAGGAAAGTTTTTGATAGAGTCTGCGATTTTCCAGCGAGAAACAATGCGTGTGACCCCTGCAGAGACAATCCTCATGTCCTCCATGAGTGTGCGTCTGTGTGAAAACGAATGTCCTCTGATAGGAAATGACCCCAAAAGCGCTCTTGTGTTTCCCATCCCCTCCCAAGAACAGCGTATAAGCAGCTGCACAAGCATGACTCAATCATGGATGCGAACCTGTCCCTCTAACTGATAGTGGTAAAATGAAAAAAACACTGACCAAATTCAATTTCTTCTTTAACTCATTGAAGGCCACAGACGTAACTGAGCGAAGTGTCTGTGTTTCGAGTGCACAGAGCGGAGTGGAAGTCGGCCCTGTGACTGTCATATCAGGCATATTTTAGTGAACACCAGACACAGCCAGGCTGGTACCAAAACTGCTGGAGAGAATCACCTTTCCCAAATCCTGCCTCGGTTGGCTGAAGGCCACCAAAGGCACAGTGTGGTCCAGTTCTGAGTTTAGTCTTTTGAGGACACATCCCACCCAACAGCTCTCTCAGGCCAGGAGCCACCGTGAGCACGCCTCACTCAAAGTGGGGAATGGACGCCAAATCGAAAAAGAGCGAAGTGAATCCGACACTCTTGCTCCGCTTGCAGCCTGTCCCTGGCTTATACGTAAAGATACATGCTGGCAATTGTGTTTTGTATAAGTAAGTTTGATGAGTAAAAGTTTTGTTTTCTAAATAATGATTTCTAATCCTTTGGCAATGTGTGACTTCAGGCAAATCACTTCTCCAGGCCCTAGTCTTCTCATCTGTAAAATGATGATACTACCATGTAGTGCCACAGAGATTCTTTTAGGGGTTAAATTACAGTACCAAGGATGCTAGAAGACACACAGAATGTATTCAATAAATGGCAACTACTACTGTTATTATGGGTTACTCATGCAGTGGCAACGGTGTCCCCACAGCTTCCTGAGAGCGCTTCCTCTGCTGGCCTGGGAGAGGACGGCATGGCAGGGCCTCCACCTCTCTGCCTGTCTGCAGCACCAGGAGCCTTTTGGTCAGTTATAAACCCTCTCCTTCCCCTCCTGCTTCCCAGCCTCTCTGCCTGCCTGAGGAGAGCGGGGCTGCTGGGTGCCAGGCCCAGGAGCTGGCTCCCGCGCTGCTCTGCCCATCCTCTGCCCGTCTCCTGCCCAGGTGCCGGCAGCATCAACACGCAACGGCTCACTGCCACCTCCCCAGGCTGCAGGGCTCGCTCACGCCATCACAGGAGTCCTAGTGCCTGGTGAGATGTCAGACTCAGAAGAACTTCGCCATCTTGTTTTGCTTTGTTATACACCAAGGTGATGATTCCATTTAATCAGAGAGACTGAACTGTAACCCAGGATTTACAAATTACATCAAGGAACCAAACTTATATTTTAAAAACTAGAACCAGATTTCCCTTCTCCTTTTCCTTTCACATCTCATTCTGAACACAGTTTGAGTTTGAAGACTGGTCTGTGGGGAGCGAGTTTTTCTCTGAAACTGTTGCAGTTCGACAAAAACCAATCTGTGTTGTAAAAGCATCGAATCCCAAGCGCTCGCCTTAAGTGGGAAAACACGATTGCAAGACGAAGGACACCGAGAAGGCACATGACAGCTTGCTGTTTAGAAAAAGCTCTTTGCTGACCAACAGTAAGAAAATGGCCTTGTGTTTCAGGGAACCAAGGCAGGCCTCACGAAGGGGTCTCCAGCTCTGCCTGGCTCCCTGCCTTCGTGGTCCTTCCTCCAGGTGTCCTTGCTGCTGGTTCAGGTCCCGGGTGAAGGACAGAGCTCAGAATGGGCTGTGTTCCTGCTGCTGCTGGTGGTCCTTGCCCAGTGTGCAGATTGCTGCCCGGCTCCTGGGCTCTCGCTGCTTACTCTCGCTGGCGTGGGTTTCTGCTGTTGTGCTACTCTGGGCCCTGGCCTGGGCTTCTAGCCCTCTGCTCCTCAAGCTGACTCTGCCGAGCCTTCTGCCTACTTCCTCAGGCCACTGCTCCCACTGGGCCTGATGAGCTTGAGTGCCTGCGTGTGAAGCCTGAACTCTAGGGCCTACTCCCCTCTGCTGTCTCCCTGGCACCCTCACACCCAGGTGAGGCCACCTCAAATCAAATGTGGTGATGGCTCTTCCACACATGGCCTTAAGCCCTCTGAATTGTCAGCCGGGAGAATAACATCCCGCTGTGAATATCCTCTGAAATGAACCCTGCTGGTCATAACTTCCTTTCCTTTCAACTTAGTACTGAAAGATGAGTCACCATATTCCAATATTCTTAATGGTCATGGGGGCCTTTGTACAATTTTACAGTATTGTAGGAATAATAATATAGAACTGGTGCAATCCTCTCAAACCAACTTTTTTTTTTTTTTGGCAAAAACTGATTTTTAGAGAATCCCAGCTGTCCTGAAATATTGACGAGCAGGAGTAAAGTGGGCTAACTTCAAACACAAATCCCGGTCCCTACACCTCGCCGCCAAGTTCAACAGACTGCACAGCAACAGGCTGTTGTGCTTGGATCAAAAGGATCTGAGAGTCTTGAAGCAGGCTTGAAATACAACTGATTTTATGATGAGTAAAATTAATTCAATGGAATTCTATTGAAACTGCATGGAAGAAAGAGAATTTGACCCAGTTTAGTCCAGACTCACAGAATTTGGTCCAATTCTTTCATTTACTACCTTATACCAACTTAGCCCAAAATATATTTCTAGCAAAAGACCCAGTTACATGTATTTAAAAAGCATGAAGGAAAAATAAAACACCAAACCAATAAGCCTAAACATAGGTGTACTGTAGGAGTCACTGTTTCCAGATGCCCATAACCAAACACACTCATCTACAATTTAAGCTCTGTGAACATTCATTTACTTATTTATCTTGAGTAAGGACAAATAGATAACATTTTTATTATCTCATCAGAGGCCACAAGAAGCTTCAAATCTGTAATCTTTTAATAATATCTTTCCAGTCCAAGCCTTAAGACCAACTTTGTTAGGACTAATAAAAACCTGAATTTAGAGAAAATGGGACCATCTTCAAACACAAATTTCGTATTACCCATAGAAGGATGAATGCTCTTTATAAAGAGACTTTGGATAGACATGCCTCATGGCTAACTGGCTGATTTTTAGAGCTTACTGATTTTAACTCACTCTTGGCAAAGGCAAATATTAGGAAGTTGTTAGGAAGGAATAAGTACGGGTGAAATGAGAACATAGATCAAAATGAAATAAAACACTTATAAAATAATTTGACTAAATGTCCACTGTGGGCCAGGCACTACCCCATACTTGGGTGTGAACTTGTCTAATTCTCAGAATAACGTTGTAAAGGAGGCATTATTATTTCTCTGTCAAGAAAGGATCACAGAGGCTGGGTGTGGTGGCTCATGCCTGTAATCCCAAAACTTTCGGAGGCTGAGGTGGGAGGATTGCTTGAGCCCAGGAGTTTGAGACCAGCCTGGGCAACATAGTGGGACTCCATCTTTACAAAAAAAAATTTAAAATAGTCGGGCATGTTAGCATGCAACTGTGGTCCCAGCTACTCTGGAAGCTGAGGTGGGAGGATCACTCGAGCCTGGGAGGTCAAGGCTGTAGTGAGCAGAGATCACGCCACTGCACTCCAGCCTGGGCAACAGAGTGAGACCTTGCCAAAGAGAGGAGAGGAGAGGAGAGAGGAGAAGGTTAAGAAACTGGTATAACTAGGGGAGTAACTGGGGAGCTGAATTCTGAACAAGTTATTTAACACCAAACCTCAAACAGGACTTAATCACTCAACTTAAAGACTCTGATATCCCTTCCTTTGGGAGATCTTGCTCCTGAGGTTCCACGGGGTGCAGGTGCAAGTCTTAATGGGCTCTGATATTTTAATAATCTATTTACTTGGGCATGTCCCGCAAAATTATACATCCCTTGAGGGAAGTATGGAAGTATGGTGCTTCGTTGACCACTGTATCCCTAATGCCTGACTCAAGTATCAGACAAACACTGAAGTCAGGATCCACACATCAAAGACAATCCAAATGGAGGAGCACGATTCTCTTATTGTTTGCAATATAGAATCTGAATAAAATTAGTGAATCAAAATAATAAAATGCACACTGAATAAATTTAACCTTTCCTTGTTCCTTAGGAGAAGCCATGATGTTTTACATAGGTAGTGATAACATTGCTACAATAAATACTTGGCTATTTTAAGAGGTGGTAATTTTATTACTACTGAAAATAACAAGGTAGAGAGAAATTTGAAAACATTCAGTAGGTATAAGCTATCTGACAAGGAAGCTTGCTCATTCACATTAATAAGCTTCAAATACACATACTAAAAGGCCATGAGGCTCTTTGTACTTAGTGACAGAAACAACATTGCGATGTGAAGGTTACTCTGGGTGACTATGAAGCCCTGTCCCTTGCCCCTGGGTCTATGCAAGCCCTGGATTTTGTGATAACTCAGTAGGTTGTGACACAAGATGAACAAGCCTAAAAAAACCCCAAACCATGAACATGTCTCAACTTCACTGAAGGCCTTAGTTAAGGCCCTAACAGGAGTAAAAAAAATTAGGAAATTAAATCTGTTGTAATAAAAGTAATATTTGTATGTTATAGGTGGGCTATTTATTTTTGTCCATTTAAAAAGATTTCTGAGTATAATAATATGGGACAGAGAACTGAAAAGTCAGTTTGATAATCTTGACCAATCTGACCAACATGGTGAAACCCCGTCTCTACTGAAAATATAAAAATTGGCTGGGTGTGGTGGCGGGCACCTGTAATCCCAGCTACTCAGGAGGCTGAGGCAGGAGAATCACTTGAACCTGGGAGGTGGAGGTGGCAGTGAGCCAAGATCACGCCACTGCACTCCAGCCTGGGTGACAGAGCAAGACTCGTCTCAAAAAAAAAAAAAAAAAAAAAAAAGAAAATTTTCGCAAAACTCCTTCCCTTTCCCCTGCCTGAGGATGTTCGGTTTGCCTGATCCCAGGACTACCCGGGGCGGGAAGGAGAGCAGAGGCCAGAGCCAGAGGGGAGAGAGGAGACAGCAGATTTGGCCGGATGTCAGAGCAAAGTCTGGAGCTGAGAGGGATAAAACAAATCTGGAGACATCTGGGGAGATGGATGGTAGAGAAACTTTTGGACTTACTGCTCTGGGTCATGTGATTGACACCCTTATGCCACTTCTTCTAGAGACTGCAGAAAAGAATAAAACCATTTTCCCATGCTTCACAGTGTGGCTGGCTCATGCTTCTTTTGGATGGAACACTGAACTAAGGCTGACCACCCAGCAGCAAGCTTCCTTCCTTTGCTTATGTGTAAAGTGCACTGATGTCATTCTCCAAGCTACAACTGTTATGCCTTTGCGGATCTGACTGAGGGAGCACTGCAGAACACCAACAATTGCACAATTAATTGAACTACTGCACAATTAGTTTTGAACATTACTATTCATAAAATATGAAGAAAAAGTTACTTAGAGAATTTTCAAGAATAGTTCTGATGCAGAAACAATCTGTGCTATAACAAATTTTTCTCAAAGAAAGGATAAAAGGTGGCTTTTTAGTCTAACAGGGCAAGAATCAACATAAAACTGCTGGATAAAGCTATAGTAACACCTCAAAGTCTAAGAAGTTGACCCATTATTTTCTAACAGAGAGTTATATTACCTAAACAGGGTTATGTATATAATTCATGAAGCTCTTTGTCTTGCTATAACAAATCTAGGTGGTTAGTAATTGAAAAACAAAATAAAAACGTGTTTTTATTTGTGCTCTTAATAAATCTTCAGCATGGAATGTAAAAAATAAAAAAGAGCTCTAGATGGTAGGTCAAGAAAAATTCTAACAAGTAGCAAGAACAAATTGCCTTAAAACTTGGTAGCTTAAGACCACCATTTCCTATGGTCATGAATTCTTTGGGCCCGCAATTTGGACAGAGGTGTTGTCTGGGGCCTGAGCTGGGAGATTCCACAGCTGGCAGCTGTACTTGTTGGAAAGGCCGTTCACTCCTATGTCTGGAGGTCAGTGCTGACCTCCAGGCCCTTCTACGCAGCCCTCGCCACGTGGGCCCCCTTGGGCATCCTCCCAGGACAATGACTAGATCCCACGAGAGCAAGTCAGGTGGGGCAGTGTTGCCTGCCACGACCTGCCTCAGCACCAGCCCTGTCTTCTCTTCATCTGGGCAGCCATGACCATCCTGCCCAGCATCCTCGGCAGGGAAGGAGGCTCCATCTCCTGATGGGGGTAGCAAGGCTCTGGAAGAGCATGTGGGACTCCAATGTGGTCGTATTTAGAGCATAATCTGCCATAGTGGCTTGGTAGAGCTCATCTCTGTGAGCTTCAGCAGTGCTCATTTTCTGCGCACCATTCAGCACCCTCTTACTCCCAAGAAGGGATGACATTTCCTTTGTGAAAAATGCTCCTGGAAATAAATTCCAATGCAAGTGCTGATGGAGGAGGAGAAGAGGCTCAGCAGAGATGGTTCTTAGTCAGAAATCTGAAATATTAAGGAGTGAGATGTTAAATATGACAGCGGTAAAGGAAAAAAAAATTCACGTAAAACCAGCGTGCTGCTGCTTCAGCGTGATATTCCAGTGCCGTCCGAGAATTTGGAGACGGTGAAGGTCTTGGAAAGTCTTTCTAGTGAAGCTCAAGGTCATATAATCTATGCAGAATGATGTGATTTTAATAACTCCATGAAAATGTTTTATCATTTACAGTTCAATTCAGTTCATCACCAAAATTCATTAAATTGCAGCCATCAATGAGGTTGATAACTGTGATCCAGAAAGATGGAAATGCAATGCCTCAGTAAAAAGCATCCAGGAGGTCTAGAGCCTCGGCTGAGGGAAGCAGCACAGGAAGCAGGGTTGGCTATGGGCAAGCACCAGTAAGAACCAAGGCCAGCAGGCCAGGGAAAGAGTGGGACTCCAGTCTCTGGGAATAGGATGCAAAGACTTAAGACAAGCCCCTCGCACAGCCTGAGCAAGCATAGCAGAGGCTTCATGGGCAGGAGGGGACCTCAGCATCCCAGGCTGGGGCCACACACTGGGGCCAAATGAACTGAACTCTGGCCCTGAGTTTGTGATGGTTCAGGCACTACCTGGAGTGGCGCTGGGCAGTCTCCTCCCTACAGACTGAGCACAACAGAGGCCTGAAAAAGTCTCTGGGCCTGGAAGCTCGAAGCAATGCTGCCCACACTCCCAGGAGCCTGGTTTTGGTTATGAGAGCAGGAGCTGTGGCATCTCCTAAATGAGACAGTTGTATAGCGAAATTATTAAAATCAAGGAAATCTGTCAGTAATTTGTGGTTTTTTTTTTTATCACTGCAGTAAGTTGAAAACTATGATTACAGTGGAAAAGAAAAGAACAAAAGAATGACTACCAGTTACTCAAAATGTACAACGGAAGTGAGTGAGCTGACTGCAGGATTGTGACCATGAGCCACCTCACACGTACCTACAGCCTCGCGCCACTCTGCCAGCGCGTACCCACAGCCAAGGGCCCATCAGCAAGCTCAGCCCCGCAGCCACTCATGACTCTCCAGACTCATCTGTGTCAAAACAAAACTAAAGTTTCCCACTTAATAAAAGCGAAAGGCTAATAGACTTGAACATTTACTGCATGTTTTTGGGTATGCCTTAATCTCTCCCCTGGCTAAGCTGCCATCATATAAATCAGAGTCATGAGTTATCATTGTTCTAGTAGCAATAAAAATAATAATAAAAGCACTGTGAGGTCAGAAAATGTCAAGACCAGTCAGAAAAATGAGCGAGACATAAAACAAAGTATAAAGGACCAGCTAGGATTGGAAAAATTCAGGTACTGTACCTCCAAGTGTACTACAGCAGGAGGTAGCTGCCACTGCTGTTTTATTTAATGAGTCTCCACATAAATCCCAGCTGCTAACCATGTGATAAGTCCATCTCAGAACACGAGAGGCCCCATTCACTATCGGTGTTCAGGCCTGGCTGCCATTAATGGGAATTTCACTTACAGTAAGGGAAAAAACAGATCTTGAAATGTTCTGTTGGATCTAAATTGTTAGCTTTTTAATTTTAGTATCAATTGGTTTGACTCTTTTTTAAACAACAAAATTAATATGCAAAGTCTCTTCATCTAAATACATGAAAAAGGAGAGCGAACAAGTCCTGGATACTTGAAACATTTTTAATGTGAAGAAGGTATAAAAACATTTTCCTGGACACCAAAGACAGAATTCAGACTGCAGAGTAGAAACAAAGCCCACATCAATTTCATAAGCTGCCTGAAATGCGTAAATACAGAAAAGAGGGGATTTTGTTTGGAATATTTTTTGTGGGACACACACACTTTTGTAAACTTTTTAACCCTAAGGTTTTGCTGGCAAATGCATCATTTTTCAAAGAGGAGTGTGTACAGGACTGAAATGTGGACCTCCGCCTGGTGCTGGAGGTGCGGCTAGTGGGAGGTGGCATGGGAGAGTGTGGAGAAGGCAACCCGAGACAGGCAGACTGGGAGCCCAGACCTGCCACTGCCCACCGTGCAGCCTTGGCAGGTTGCTCACCCTTGCTCTCAGTCGCCCAGATGTCAAATTGGAATATTAACATGTGGAGGTTAGACAGGCAATGAGGAAAGGCTTGGCAAGCAAGCCAGAAACAGGCACAGAGAGGAAACCATGAGTCACAAGTAAGGGAGACAGAGGCAAAGACTGGGAGCCGACCAAGGCCACAGTCGGGAGGGCGATCCAGAGTTCAGACCAGGGAGGTGGAGGAACAGGCAGGCTTAAAGAATGCAGGGCAGAATTGCACAGGTAAAGGATGTCTTACGCGTACTGTGTACTCCAATAGATTCTTCAATTTCTTCAAAATTAAAAAGCAATGGGACAAGAGTTAAAGGGAGGCAGTAGCACATGAATGGCTTAATTCTGGGGGCATTTTGTTGGTTCCTAAGAGGTATGCATCAATTCATTCACAGGCTTTACTATCCTGGGGTTTCCTGGCAGAAATGTCTGGGAAGATCTGCCTGGAAATAGTTACAAGAAAGAGGTAGTTTCTGATATTACACTAGCAATGGAAGGGGAACAATAAGACCTGCAGGTGATGACTTCATTACTTCAGGTAAGAGAAAAAGAGCTTCTGTCAGAATTCTCCTTTTTCACAAACCTCTAATTTAGGGCTAACCTTCAATCTAGTCATTAAGAAATATCCAAGTTTCTCAAATGCTGGAATTTGGCTCAAATGCTGTTAATGGAACTCTATATTTTAGGTCAAATAATTTTAACTCTTTCAAAAGCCATTTGTTGGATTTTAGTTAAAATAAAAAAATTAATTAACTTAGATCTCTGGACACCCTTTCATTTTCCTCTATGTGTTAGTGTAAAACTGCAAAGCAATTCTGCTGCTACCCACCTGGAGTTAGGAAGTGACTCTGCAGACTGAAGGGCATGATCCCCAACGAGACAGCCCTCACTTCGGGCACCAGCCCCGGTTTGCGGGTCCCCAGGTCACCTGCACTTATAACCAACTGGTTATAAACCTGAGGGGTCTCCACCTTAAGTTTCATAATTTGCTAGGATGACTCACAGAACTCAGGACACAATAGTCATGTAATGACAGTGTTATTAGAAAGGATACAACTCAGGACCAGCCAAATGAAGGGACAGCAGGGGACGGTCTGGAAGGGCCCCAAAGGCAAAGCTTCCATGTGCTCAAGATGCATCACCCCCTTATTACATCAACGTGTTCACTACCCAGAAGCTGCACTGCCCAGGGTTTCTATTGAGGTTTCATTACATAGTCATGACTGACTGAACCACTGGCCGTATGCTGACCTCACTTGGCTCAAGGCCCTGACTCTCTAAGCCCATGGTTGGCTTATCTAGCTTGGCCAGCCCCCACCCTGAAACCATACAGGGGCCCACCATGAATTACAGAGACGCTCCTATTACTTAGGAAATGCCAAGGATGTAGTCTCCCTCCTAGGAATCAGGACAAAGGCCAAATTCTTTATTATATAAGTTAGATAGAACTTGACAAAAAATTATTTTTTCTTTTTCTTTTTTCTTTTTTTTTTTTTTTTTTTTCCTGACAGGCTCTTGCTCTGTTACCCAGGCTGGAGCACAGTGGTGCGATCACGGCTCCCTGCAGTCTCGACCTCCCAGGCTCAAGCAATCCTCCCACCTTAGCCTCCCTAGTAGCTGGGACTACAGGTGCATGCCACCACACTTGGCTAATTTTTGTGTATTTTTTTTGTAGAGATGGGGTCTCACTATGTTGCCCAGGATAGTCCTGAACTCCTGGGTTCATGTGGTCCTTCCACCTCAGCCTCCCAGTGATGGGATTGTGGGTGTGAGCCACCACACCCAGCCTAAAATTACTTTCTAATTGTATCTTACTGCTGGTAGCATAGCTAAATATTATGCTAGCATTTAAAGAAGTGGCATATCTGTTTAAATAATATCACACTTATATTTATGAGCCTCTATCATTTGTGATCCACTCTGGTATATTCTATCAGTCTTTCCCCATCTCGTATTCATAAAGATACATTTTTCTGTTCCTAAATATATGACATTGCATTTATTGCTATGAAAGTTCTTATTATTTTTGATGAACTGCTTCTCACATTTTCAGAGTCATCCCGAAAACCTCACTCTTTCTGTCAACAATCTTATCAATCCTACTCACTTGGTGAGAAATCCAGAAATAAATGGTCACACTCCAGTATGACAGCTCAGAAAGAAATTTTCAGCATTTAGGGCTTATTAGACAAGCCCCTCTTCTCAAAAAGAAGATGAGCCAATAATTAGCAATAATAATAATAAGAGCTCACAATTACTGAATGCCTCCAAAGTCTCCATGGGAGTTAGGCATGGTCTTACCACAGCCCAGTAGGGCAGACACTACTATTTTCTTTATTTTATAAAGAAGCAAAAGTGAAATGTAGAGAGGCTGAGTAACTTGTTCAGATTCACACAGAAAGTGAAGTTGGCTTTTAAAACTCTTTGACTCTAGCACCTAAACTCGTAGCTGCTGTTGGCTTACCTACCTGTTTTAAAGGAAACAAGCAGATAAAAATTTCATGAGGCAAATTTTACATGAAGTTTCCAAATTTTCCAACATATCGAGGTTTTCTATAGTTTTTCTATAGCGGTTATATATAGTATATATCGTTTTTGTATAGTATATATGTTTTTCTATAGTAGCTATATATAATTGTATGATTTGAATTTTCATTTATATCCACATGTACCGAGGAATATGTGGTCTTCAGTGAATGCCAGTTCATTGACAACAATCGTGATACTTAGGGATTAAGTGTGAAGAAGTTCTGCTGCTGCCTGCTTTACCTCTTGTGGTAGGCTGAGTAATGCCTCCCAAAGATGTTCATGCCCTAACTCCTAATCAGTGACTATGTTACCTCACATGGCAAGATGGTCTTCACAGATGTGATTAAGAGAATGCTGAGTTGGGGAGTGATCCCGGCTGTCTAGGTGGACCCAATGTCATCAAAGGGCTACAAGGCAAAAGGTCAGAAGACAGAGAAGGTAAGTGATGATGGAAGCAAAGGACAGAGAATGTACTTTGTAGGCACTGGAGAGAGCCACAAGCCAAGAAATGCAGGTGGCCTCTAGAAACTGGAAAAGGCAAGGAAACAGATTCTCCCCCAGAGCCTCTGGAAGGGATGTAGCTTTGCTAGATACCTTGACTATAACACTCATTTGGACTTCTGATTCCAGAACTGTAAGATGATAATTTGTGTTTGTCTCAGTTTGCTTGGGCTGCCAATACAAACTACCTTGTACTGGGCGCTTAAACACAGAAATTTATTTTTTCACAGTCCTGGAGGCTATACTTCTGAGATCACACTACCAGCATGGTCTTTTTCTAGTGAGGATGCTCTTCCTAGCTTATAGATGGTGGCTGCATTCTCACTGTGTTCTCAACCGTGGTGGGCTGGGGGAGAGCTCTGATGTCTCTTCCTCTTCTTATAAGGACACTAATCCCATTATGAAGCCCTGGCCTCTTGAACTCATCTAAACCTAGTGATCTCCCAAAGGCCACATCTCCAAATACGATCACATTAGGAGTTACGGCTTCAACATATGAATTTTGGGGAGACACAATTCAGTCCACAGCAGTGTTGTTTTAAGTCACTGGTTTTGTAAAATCAGAAAAAATAAGAAACAAGTATGGTTTGTTCCCTTCCTCCTAAGTGGAATTAACATATTATTTCCTGTTCCTAGAATACAACGTGCATTTTGGTGTTTTTAGGAAAGATTAAACCTGAATATATTTTTAAACTTTACTACTGTTTATAATATACAGCCAAATGACACATTTTTTAATGAATTTTTAATCTAATCAAAATAGCATATATAAGTAATATAGAAAGTCAAATATTGATGAGACTGATAATAAAAAACAGAAATCTCTTGTTTCTTGCTCCTCCCACCTTGCCAGACTCTTCAGAGTCCCCTTTCAATACTTATAGTTTGCCAAATGATGTGTCTATTCTGTTATCTCCTGATCGATGTATTTGAGGAATTAACTACTGACTTATTACAGCACTACAGAATTTTTAGCATATTTATATACTTTTAAACTCACTTCCCCTCTATAATTACTTCTCAATTTTTGGTTAAGTCTATATTCATAGTAGCAATTATTAGTTTCTATATAAATATTATTTTCTTCAGAGTCAACTAGTATAACATGATTTCATTCCTTTCTTTAAAAACCCATCCCCTTTCCCCACCAGGCTTAACTGTTAGTTTTTTTTTTTTCCTCGGATTAGTTTTCCTTATATATCATTTTCTCACACTCTCCAACTTTCTATAACACACATGCCAATGTAATTTTTCATACCTTCAAACCTGTCAGAGAACCTACTGCTTCCTTTATACTCTTCTCCTGGAAACATCTCTCTTGAAGGGATCAGTGTTCAATCCAGTTTGTTTCACCTTCGATACTGATCGTTTCACCTAGACCAGCTACTGTTGTCTGCTTGGGACTTCCTTTGCTGTCATCCTGAGAATTCCCTTCTCTCTCTGTGTTGGATCTCCTGCAACTATTCCTGAATACTACACCTTCACCTTTCTTGATGTATTCCCTTGTTTTGGTAGAGTATATCTACCAATAGCTTTCTCAGAAAAGTACATGGAGGATAATTACATTAAAAATGATATGTGTTTGAAAATATCTGTAATACCTTGACTTGGTTTAGAATTTCAAATTAAAAGTCATTTCCAAAATTTAGAGGGTGGTTTTGCTCTACTGGCTTCTTATTCCAATATTGATAGAATGCCAAATTTACTCCTGATCATGTGTCTGAAATCTGTACTTCTGGAAGTTTTATGATCTTCTTTTTAACTCCAATGCTGAAATATGACAATAACAGTATTTGGTGTGGGTCTTTGTTCATCCACTGAGCTGGACAATTACACAGCCTTTACAATCTCAAGAATTACATTCTGCTCTGGGAAATTTTCTTCACATATTCATATGATAATTTCCTTATATTTTCCATCTCTCACTATGAAATTCTTATTAGACGTTTTCACTCTTCAGTATATCCTCTAATCCCCATGTATCTCATCTTCACCCCTTTCTTGATGCCCTTTCCCTATCTACACTCACTGCAATAGTGATCTCTTCTAGTTTCAACAAACGACTTCTTCAGGTTTCCTCCAGGGGCACTGTGGGGCAGTTTCCTGGGTCATGATACATTCCCCAATGTCCTGTGTTCTATGATAGTCTCAGAACCCATGATAAAATGACTATGCATTTGTGAGGTACTTCTCTACTCCAGGACGGCTTTAGGAGCCTATGAATCTGTTCTAGGGATAGAGATAGAGGTTAACATGAGCTTAAGAGTTCCAGCTCACTTCAGAACAGTTTACAAGAAATTCAGATAAACTTATAAATTCCATTTCCCCTTAAAGTAGGCCTGAACCAGGGTGGGAAACCTTAAATGACCTCTTTCAAGAAGTTCATGAACAAAAATCTGACTTATGATCTTTAAGATGTCCATGGACTTGATGAGTCTGCTTTTATGTCAGCGAATGTCATCAACTCCAGGACACCTGGATGTTTCTGAGCCACCGCAGGTGGAGACTGGAGTACCTTGTGTACAGAGGTGATACATATAGTTTATTGTGAAGGCAGCTCATCTTCCTACTTTAAAATGCCAAAGGAAGTCAAAAGCCACGTAGAGGAAAATTACTACCCTTTTCCTTCATTCTCTGCAATTTTATGGTCACCTGGAATTCTGGGTTTCTCATTTTGCTTAGTATTCCTGGAGAAACACAAATTCCCTGCCAGTGTATCTCACATCTCAGTGCTTCTCCCAAATGTCTAAGATTTTAAAAAAACAGAAAGTTTGACCAGCTTATTGCCAAAAATGAAGAAATGTTTGTACTCAGTTTAAAATATAATGTGCTTAGGTCTATAGGACAGAGTCGCCAATAATGGTAGAAGTGGAATGATGGAAAGGGCTTTACACACTTACGTGGGAATAACTTCATTTTAAGTGAACAGGGGATGAAGACGGATACTTCTAAACAAAGATTGGGTCAGTGAATGATTATCCCAGGAGGATGAGAAAAAAGAAACAACAAAATATAATGTTTGGATCTATCTGAGGAGTTTATCCTAACATTTTGAAATGAATTTACTGGCCACTTTTCCAATGCCCTATCAACACCTAGAGGGTTCTTTCTCCTTTTATGATAAACCCATGAAGATTTCCAGTTAAATAATTGCATTCCAAATCCCATTTACGTATGTCTACTCTAATCCAAAGATTTATTAATCTAAGATATTCTCTAAAATAACTTCACTGAGGCAAAAAAAAAAATACTTGGAAAATTGCAGCACCATATATAAACCACTGAGGTGGTACAAAACATTTAAATAAACAAAGACACATGTATATCAGCAAAAATCACAGGGAAAGGAAACTACGGCATTATATAGAAAGCTGGGTGTTTGGTTGGTGGTCGAAACCATGGAATGTTCTATGTCTAGGGACAGAATCTGAGGTCAAATCTGGTACTGAGAAGCTGCAGAAAATGTACTAGCCTTAGAGAATTTGGCCTCAGTTTGACTTCATAACACAGTAGGGTTAACACTGTTGGGTTGAAGGAATGATTAAATATCATTTTCAAAACTTCCTCTCAACTCTGGATATTAACAATGGTACCCAAATCATTTTATAGATTGATTGAGAGCTATATACATTTCCTGACAAGACCTTTATATGTGTACTATTCGGGACACGTCATTCTTATCCCAAATATATAAAAATCATATGGAACCTCTGAAAAGGAGACAGATGGTCCATTCTAGATTAAATGTATTTAAAAGTTAATTTACAGGGGTGAGCCACTGCACCTGGACGATGATATCCTAAGTAATCTAAAATGAGGCTGGGGTCAAGGTGCGGTGGCTCACCCCTGTAATCCCAGCACTTTGGGAGGCTGAGGTGGGGTGGGTGATTACTTGAGCCCAGGAGTTTGAGACCAGCCTGGGAAACATAGCGAAGCCCCATCTCTACAAAACAAAAACAAAAACACAAAAATTAGCCAGGCATGGTGGCGCATGCCTGTAGTCCCAGCTACTCTGGAGGCTGAGGTGGGAGGATCACTTGAGTCCGGGAGGCAGAGGTTACAGTGAGCTGAGACAGCACTACTGCACTCTTGCCAAGGTGACACAGTCAGACTCCGTCTCAAAAATAATAACAATCATCATCATCATCAAAAATGAATGTATTTTCATACATAGACTTCTACATGCTACCAAAGACTCTGAGGTACAGATTTTTTGTTTTTTAAGGAATTCCCAGTTATATCTAAAACCCACAAGGCATCAAAATTACACTAATGCATACAACACTAGTCTAATGGCTAAAATGACTGTGTGGAGTCTACTGATCTTCCTTCTGAATATTCATCCCTTTTCCCATATATCTGTATATATACATACAGATATATGATGCATATATGCATATATTTCTCTTAAATCATTTATTAGGAAGAGTATCTATGCGTGCCTCATAAACTGTATTTCCTTATTGGGGAAAAATTAAAAGGTGAATGAAACATTACAGATTTTAAAATGATAATCAAACAATGAGAAATGGGCAAATCAGGAGGAAATATGCTTTGAATGCAAATAAAATTTAAAGATTAGTTCAAAACAGAAAGTTCACATGAAATGCTTCAATGGTATAATAAGCTTTGCAATTTAAAGAACTTGTAAATAAATGTTCTTATTCTGAAAGCAGTTCATTCACATTAACAGTCATCCACATTTCAGTGTACTCAATTTAAACATCTCCTTAATTTTAAAATATTCAAGAAACATTTGCAACAGGACCCTAAATAAGCACTCAGATGAATGCTAATAATTTATCCGAAATATATAATCTGCATAGTCACAGTGACCCAATAAACAGTGAGGCCAGAGATGGGGGGAAGGCGGGGACTGGCCAGTTCTCTTCTCTCTACAAACTCCACCAAATTAGCAGGATGCCTGTATCGGAAGAGAAAGTGGTAACCAGAGGTGTGGCTTCAGCGGAAAGAGTTCTTCTCCCCATGTAAGCACAGGGTTGTGTATGCTTCTCTATTCAACAACCCCACAGGACCTGGAGGGCTCTGCAGCTGTGAACTGTGGACAGGGCTCTGGGGAAGAGATCCTGGAATGCTGGCTCTGGAAGTCCACCCAGCCTCATAGTTCCTCCTTGTAGGCTTACCGAGATCTGGGATCTGTAGTCATTAAATCTTAGGCAGGAAGACATGTAGGAAAAAAAATCTATGTAAGAAAAAGTATGAAACTTGTCATTTTTCAGTATGATAGATCTTCAAAAAATAGGATAAAAAGTGAAGCTGGTCCAGGTTATAGACTACTCTTAGTGTATTTTCAGACCCTTGTGGCACTTTTAAAAAATACAAATTCTCAGGCCTCACGCCTGCAGACTGCAATTAGGTATACTGGAGAGGGGCCCAGGAAACTCTAATTTTATAAAGCTCCCCAAATGCTCATAATGATCAAGTCATGTTTGGGAGCTCAGATTTGATGCTGTTTTGGAAAATTTCCTTGGGATAATATGACTTCAAATCACAACCCTCAAAATTTATTTCAATCTTCTAATATTGAACTTCTACATACACTTGCTCCATTAGCAACATAATAATTCACTGACCCTCTCGCTTCAGTTAAAAATAACAATCATAAAATATTAATTTGCTGTGTTTTCCATTCAAATGCTCACTTTGTTTTAGTAGCGAAAAACTTGAGGAAGCAGAGAACAAGCTTCTTCCTTCCTCTGCACTTAGGAAAGATGTAGCTCCTTCAAACTGTAGTGATGTTTGATACGCTCATCAGATGCTTTACCCATTCCCTTACAGTAAGTCAGTAAAAAAGTGATCTGATTCAGTGAGGAATGTTTATTCAAATGGCTCAAAAATGTAGGAAGAATGGTGTTACTATATGCCCAACAAATGATCCTTAGATCATGACTGCTGTGTGCTCAAGCAGGGATCCCTAAACCCCAGGCCAGGGACCAGTACCAGTATATGGCCTGTTAGGAACTGGGCCGCAAAGCAGGAGGTGAGCAGCCTGCAAGCGAGCATTACTGCCTGAGCTCTGCCTCCTGACAGATTAGCCAAGGCATCAGATTCTCACAGGAGCGTGAACCCTACTGTGAACTGCACGTGCGAGGGATCCAGGTGGCACACTCCTTATGAAACTCTAATGCTTGATGATCTGAGGTGAAACAGTTTTGTCATGAAAGCGTCCCCACCCCCCAGTCAGTGGAAAAATTGTCATTTAAATGTTATAGCTGGCCTGCTATAAGCACAGGTGTATCTGGTAAACTCCACATGTTAAAAAGGTAAAAAGAACTCTCTCACTTCCTTCTTGAGCTTAGGTCATAAATATTTTAATAGACTTGTGTCCACCTATGCTGACTTTCTATGAAACTGAAAGCTCCTCTCAAGTAAGTGTTTTGTGATGTTTTGATTTGTACAATGAAAAGCACAGTGGCAAGTATATGTCAGTACTATCATCATCATCAGAGTTACTAACATTTTAAAATAGTCACAGTCCAAAGCTACACACATTAATGTGTTTAATTTCCCACTGGAATCCTATGAGGTAAGTATGAATATTATCTTCATTTTACATAGAGAGAAACTGAGGCAGAAAGAACTTAATAGACTTGGCCAGCATTTCACAGCTAGGATGTGTGGCAGAGCCGGTATCTGAACCCAGGAAGCTCAGAAATTATGTTCCAAGGGACACCATTCACATAAATACAAGGGAAGGTGTGCATTTGTGGACCCCAATGGGCACAGCTTGGAGTGTCCTCTATAATTACCAGATCCCATGCCTTGGCATATACCAGGACAGGTTTGCTAACAAGTCAAGGCATCTGCACTTTGATAACAGACACTTTGATGTCTCTGTTTGTTTCAGTTTTGTCTCTGACTCATTTTTCAGTTCTAATGCTAGGAATGTCACATAGTTATTTCCTGGTTTTATATATTCAAAAGTACTCCTGGAAAACATCTTCCTGCAATTCTTGAACAAAGGAGTCAAAGGACACAAAGTTTTCACATTTTTCCAGTTTTGGTTTCGATCTCAGTTTGTACCAGCTTCAGAAAAGCACTCATTCCAAAGTTCTAGAAATTTCATTAACTGTGACTGCACTCTGAAGAACAACCTTGCTTAAATTTTGATGTATAAATTTACTTCTAATTACAGAGCACACACACACACACACACACACACACACACACACACACACACACACTCCTGTCTTAAAAGTTTTAAGAATTTAAAAGCTATCATTGCAAGATGCAACTCCACACTGTGGTATGATTTTCATATAAGTCACTGTAGTGGATAATTTTAAAAGAAACCAGATTTTTAAAGAAATATTAAGAAACTGTTTCTGTACTTAGTTCTCAGATAAGAGCAGAACCTGTAGAACCACTGAGTCTTGTGCAAACCTTTTGTGTGGGTGGGTCTGGAAGAGCATCCAGGCTTTCTCGTAGCTGGAATGTGAGTGAGGCCCATGTGGAGGTAGAAGCGTGAGGCTCCTTTGGATCAGAAGGCTCTGTAATTCTGCCTAAAGCCAGCCACCCGCTGAATCTCCAAGAGAAGGCAGAAGCCATCCCTTCTCTTGGCGTATTACTTGTTTGGGAGTCCTCCAAGCGAATGTCCCCTAAATGTCAAACAGAACCGAGCACTGTAAAGTTCTGTTTTGCCAGTGCCTCCCTTGCAATCAGATCCCATTTTCTGGTTTTGGCATCGCATACTGTTGGAGAATACGAGACAGCTTTGTTGACACCTACACCGGGTGTGTGAACTGCAGGCTATGACACACTGGTGGCAACACAAACCTGTATCTTGCTTGCTTCAAAACATACTTCTTCCTTATGGAAAGTACTGGAACACAAATAACTTAAAAATCCCCCAACTTACTTCTGTCAAACATAGGGTGTTCTGGGCCTGGTCCATACTTCACCAGCCAGCAAAGAGGCATTTTGATCACTAAGACTTGTTTTCAAATAGGAACTTTCAAACCTTTACTCCTACCGATCCCTAGGATATCGTGTAGGTCAAAGATTAGCGAGGGAAGGGACTGGAGCCAGGGATCTGGGCTGGAGGTGGAGTAAGAGTGGAGAACTGGCCGTGACGAGGGTGGAGGGTGCGGGTGGTGAGGGGAGGCAGCTAGTTCTGTGCTTCCCGCTGGCAAAGAGTCCCCCGCTCCCTCCTTCTTTTCCCCTCAATGTTCAGATAATAAAAAACAGTCTCTTTAAAACATCCAATTTATTATGGATTTAATCTCTAACGATGATATGCTGGAGTGGATGGCATATATCTAAGAAAGCTCAAGCCTTGGCAACACGGTGCCTTTTGACTCCCAGCCACCTGCCTTTGGTCTAGTTTTCTTTTTCAAGTTGTGATACCTCTGATGGGAATAATTTTTAAATGGGAAAACTGTGATCAAGATATACTTTTAAGTCTGAAGGTCTTCATTATTATCGAAATAGGTGAAAGAAGACGAGAAAATAGGGCTGTGCTTTTCCTTCCCTACTTTCTAGTCACATTCTAGAATAACAGAAGTCAGGAAAGAAGGAAGGCAAAGCAAGGAAATCAAGAGAAATTGGCTGAGGGGCTGGGGAGGGAGGGAGAATTAAAACTGGAGGGAGACTCCAGAGAAGATGACTCTTGATATATGCATATGCTACCCATTTAATGCTGTATGTTGCCACTAACACACATTGTTGATTTCAGGGTTACAGCCTACGAAACAAACTGCGTACTTTGTTCCTAGATACACTAATTTTGGGACTCCCTCTCTGAACACACAAGAAAACTCAACCACTACTTCAAATACCTCCTCACACATTTATATCGGTTGGAGATTTGTTTAGATTAACAGACTCTCCAAGGGTTAAGATAGTAGGTCATTCATACCTTAATGTCTTTTTTTAAAAAAAATTAAAATCCCAGCTAGCTGCAATGGTCTCAGTGATTCAGAGCTTTGCAGTAAGGGAAGAGAGCAGGAGGCCAGGGGAAGAGGAGGCCAGCCTTCCCTTCCTTCCTCCCACCTTGACTAGGGCTGCTTGATGATGCCCATATGGTGGTTGGCCTCTGAAATTCTTCCTTCTCGACAAGGTCTCCTGAAATAAAATTTAGGTTTCCAAGGTGAATAAGGTCTAGTTTAAGTAACATGATATATGGAAATAAAGAAGCTTCCGATTCTGAGAACTCTGGTTGTGAACCCTAGCAACTCCAAACACAGGTTGTATTGATATTGGTGAGCTTCTTCAACTCTTTAAGTCTCAGTTTACTAATTTGTAAAAAGTGGATAGTAACACCAACCTTTCTCAGGAGGGTTAGACATCTATAAAAGGCCAGCAGAATGTTCTTATGACTCCTACTCACAACCATTTCTTTTCTTTTCTTTTTTTGAGATGGAGTCTAGCTCTGTCACCCAGGCTGGAGGGCAGTGGTGTGATCTCAGCTCACTGCAACCTCCGCCTCCTGGGTTCAAGTGTTTCTCCTGCCTCAGCCTCCTGAGTAGGTGGGACTACAGGAATGAGCCACCATGCCCAATTAATTTTTCTTTTTCTTTTTCTTTCTTTCTTTTTTTTTTTTTAAGCAGAGATGGGGTTTCACCATAATGGCCAGGCTGGTCTTGAACTCCTGACCTCAGTGATCTGCCTGCCTCAGCCTCCCAAAGTGCTGGGATTAGACATCTATTTCTTCAGAGCACTGCACAGTTATCATCAGCTCCTTAGCCCTGGGTGAAGCAGGCACAGCACAGCAAACAGCTGCAAGAAGTGGATGTGATTCTGCATCTGAAAGCACAGAGGTGGGTCTGGACCTCCAAGAATGGAGTCACACCAAAAGATGTCAAGGTGCTGAGTAAACTTCTGGGAAGAACTGCTGGAGGAGCGAACTCTGGTTATTGGTGATTCTTGAAGAGTGTGTCCTGTTTCAGGGTAGTGAATGTGACAGATCTCTGCAGCAGGCAGCTGCCACTTCATCCCTGCTCCTGAAAAGTGACACTCGGGGGATACAATCTGCTTCCAGGTGCTCCCTGGAGCCCGGACCATGAGGACCTGTGACTAGAATAGCCTGCCCAGAGCTGTAAAATGTGCTTATTCTATGAGACCTGCACCGAAATTACCTTTCAGGAACAGAGAAATATTCTGTGAGGAAGCTATGCAAGGTGGCCTCTTGAGGAAGGGGGCACAAGTAGACATTTCCAGTTTGTTCATGAGTTTTCAAAAAAGCAAGCTATGCTCCTTACAGGAATGAGAATCTTGCCTTGTTGGAGAATAATGAGTACACAGATTTTTGTGATTGTTATTCAAGCTGCCAATCCTGGTAGCTATTCAGTAGATAAGTAATTAGTAACAGTTTTGTTGGACCATGAATATCAGAGATTCATACCCTTTGAATAGAACCTTAATACAGCAGTAAAGGTTTATAGCTGTATAAAGCTGTCCAGCTGGAGTGGAGGCAACCCGCAACATTTTCCATGCAAAACCCACTCACATGATGCATTCCCCACCCCACCTCACTCCCGTCGGAGAGGCAGGGCAAAGGGAGCAGATGTTTGCACAGGAATTTTCCCAGGGCTTAATTCAAGAAGCTAAAACGGTGAGCACACCTGAGCAAATGAGGCCTGGCTCTGGCGGGCAGCCCCGGGCACAAGCCCCACATTTTTCCAAGACTATGTTTTCCGCACACAGAGGGCCATAGAGGGTAGAAAAGAAAGGCATTTTCAAGCTTGAAAGTTGGAATTCTGTCCACTTGCTATACTGTTCAACTTTATCAGCTTTCATGAGGGGACAAAGAAGAACCACAGTAATTTTTAGCTTGTTGAATTTTGTGGTTTATTTATTTACATCTCAGAGAAAGACTTCATCTAATGCTACCCTCCCACCCCGAATAAAAACGGCACTGGACACTATAATGTTGAAATAGCCACTGACCTTAAAAGCCACTGTCTCAGGCATTGCCAGTAACAAAATTGGGAGTTGGATATTTAAGCAAATTGTACTTAATAAAGGCCATATTTGCCTAAATAGAAAAACGGAGATGCAGTACCACCTAAAGTGAAAAAATGTTGAAAGTTTCAGTAGATTATTCCAATGTAAAATAAAATCAGCTTCTTCAAATATTTCAACAGAGGTACAAGTCTTCATTTGAGAATTTACATTTCCCATAAATTAATACTGTCCTAATGAATGTACAATTTTGCAGACACCAGTTAGTCTGGGATCTTGCCTATAGTCGTTACTCAATCAATATTACTTGAACTGAAGGACAAGACAGCAATCTGTGAGACCAAAAAAAATAATAAAGTTTCTACACAGCAAGCATTTTCTATAATAGGCATATCTCAAACTAATAAGGCAGGAAGTATATTTAAAAAAATGTTTTTGCTTTAGGTCTAAAAGATTTTCCTTTCCAACTATAAAACAGCTGAAATCATGTATCCTCAGCCCAACATAATTTCACGCCTAATTTATGGAAATAGAATACCAAAGGCCTCTGAAAGGGAGAGGGCAGGCAGGAGAGAAAGGATAGTGTGACATTAACACAGGGACCTGCTCCGCTGTTGTTCGGCAGGAGGTAGGCCTGGGCGAGTCTGCCCTACAGGGCGGCACAGTAAGATTCCAGCAAAAACATGTGTTATGCGGGGAGGAGGGGGCGCTCCGCTGAATGAACTTACTGTTACCTTTTTCCCCCTCTAACATAAGTCTTCTTTTTCCTGATACTGTCTGAATTTGAAACATCTAATTTAATCCATTGGAGGGCCAGTCTTCCTTTTATTTCCTGTCTGTACTGAAGCAGTCGCCTGTTTCAATTACGACTTTCTCCAGCTCCTACATTTCTTGTGCTCCAGCTGGCTCAAAGTGCACTTCCTTGGAAGGTAAAATGCACTAACTGTGCTGATCGGAGACTGATAGCTGGAGAGCCACAATATTTAATAGCTGCGCTGATAAGGAGGTTTAAAAAAATCCATTTTTGAGCCTAAACAAAAGGATATTATGTAGCTGCATGTTCAATTAAGATCTAGTTAAATTCTTTTTTCCCATTATGTGGAACCTCATGCAGGCAGCCGACATAACTCATAGTGTTATGGCAAATTTCATCGGCACTGTATGTTTGAGAAATGTTTCCCTCCTGCTTTTCAGTTAGTTACTGCTGATTTGGGACCAGCTTGGTGCAATTATTTCAAAGAACAGAAATGTGGGATTGATACGGCATTCTTGCAAAACCCTGGCTGGCTAAAAATAAGACTGTTTTGCAGTCGAGAAGGCAAAAAACGTCTCTGGGCTGTAAACACCAGTCAATGTATTTCTTTTCTGCTTTATGAAAACCACAATTTTTTTTTTCTTTTTTCCGTCTCTCCTTACTCATAGTGTAGTTTAATTACAGTTTAATCTCTTTCAGCGAGCAGCCCTTGAGACCTTATTGTTCAACCACAGTATTATCAAGGCTACAGCTACAATTTATGGCAAAAGGTGGAGGCTCCCCTTTAGAAAAACCAAAATGCTCCCTTCCCGTCCCCAAATAAATAAATAAATAAATAAATATAATAGTTACTTTATTACAAACTCACATTACAAATTTTTATTAGGCTCTAGAGATGCCAGGCCAATAATTAAAGAAATACCTGAGAGGTGTTGATCAACACTTACCCTGTTTAACTCTGCTGGGTCAATAAATCTGCAGGAAAACTTTTAAGTTAACAAGATTGTTTGGGCCTCTAGTTGCTGAAAATATTTGGTTACACTGAGGGGAAATGAGGTGGGAGAGAGTGGAGGAGAGGTTCAGAAGTAAAAAATGGACTCTCCACTTGCTTGGGGTACAGGAAATATACAGTAAAGAGTTTGCTGCAACTGAAGGGGTGAATAAGGTCAGTAAATTATTTTTGCTGCTTTAAGCTCACAGGTATGATTTAGTGTCTCTGAGTTTTAATACACATTTTGAAAGAAGTGCCAAAATCCTAGGGGTTTCAATAAAAGAGAAGGTAAAACTTGGCTGTTCACCACAAGAAAACAGATTCTAAGCATAAGGTGACTGCTCAAATTCAAGGCGAAACTTTAACCATTAATTTGTCGTTGTTTTTGTTTTTAATAAGATGCGCTGTTTCCTTTTTGTCTTCATTCTTTAAATGCTTTATGGTCAATTTGATTTGTAAATTCATTTGCTCTAAAGAAGCAAGAACAATAAAAGCTCTCTGTGCAGTTTGCCAGTCCTCACTGCTACGTGGCGAGTTCCCCTTGTGCACACCAGCTTGGTTCTAAAGAGGCCGTGGAAGCCATGCATTTCCCGTCAGTCTGAACTCACGGCTGGCCAGCGGGCAGATGCCCATGTGGCGCACCCCGGCCATCCCTGAGGCTCATCTCCACCACTGGTAACTGTGGCGTCTGCCACCTCCACTTCTCCTCTCTGCTTTTTTCTTCCCCACTGTTGGGATTCTGGGTAAAACTGTTGGCTTTATTGCTAATTTTGCCAGTGAATCAGAACTGCAGTGCGTGCTGGGCCTCAGCAGATTCACTACCACAGAACACTCAGATCTCCTATGTGTCATGAATTGTATATGCTTTCATTTAAAATTATAGAACTTCATTATACATTAACTTTATAGAAAGAAGCCAGCAAACAGAAAATTCTAAAAATTTATTAAAAACTCACTTCGAATCCTTATCAATAGGTTTTTTTTTTACATGGCAGAAATGTGTTTATTCTATTTTGTGATTTTCTAAAATTCTTTAACATCATACGCTCATTTTCAATGGCAGCTGAACTATATTACCCTTAATATTTTTTAGGCTAAAGTCATCTCTGCCAAACTTTAAGGCATAGAACACTAAGCTCTCAATGGAATGTATTTCCAAGGGCTTCAAAAGAATTAATGCCTTCGTTCGAGGAAAAACCTTGGTCTCTAAGTATCCTGTAGCCAACCTTCTAAAGAAGTTGAGTGGCTTTCTATTTCAAAAAGAAATGAAGACAGCTATCTTACCATCTATAACAGAGTGTGAACTTTCCCACCTGCTTTATTTCATTTTTGGAGCTGATGGGTCTCTCTTCAGTAACACAGAACTCATATCTCTGTCTTTATATTGTTAGATTTCTATAAGGTAAATTATTAGTTTAGTTCTTTGAGATGGTTCAATGCTAAGTTGTTGGATTTTTATTAAATATTAATATAAGAAGGGGTCTGACATTTATGCTTTATTTTTCCTGGTAGTTATATATGCACTACAGTATTACAAGATACACTGTTTCTTTTCTGACCAGGAGGAACATATCTTACTAAAAAGTGTATTTTGATGTATTGACAGTCCCCCACATACATGCCACTGTACAGAGTTATATGGTATTCTGCTGTACTGCTCTAACATGTTTACCATAAGCATTCTAACAGTACAGGGCAGCAGTTCCCAAAGTATGGTCCAGGCACCTCTGGAGGTCTCTAAGATGCTTTCGTTTGGTCTTCAAGGGCAAAACCATTTTTATGATAATACTAGAACCATACTTCTTTGGCATCCACATTCTTTCACCGATATACAGGAGATACTGAAGCAGTTAAGAGAACTCAACTGTCTTCTGTTAATGCAGACATTAATGAGATTTTTTTAAATTTTGAAACAATGCCACTTTACTAATATTTTTGTCTGGGAAAATACAGTTATTTTTCATAAAAATATTTATCACGTTATTTTTAAATGAATAAATATCCTTTAAATGTTGCAGTTTTATCTCCTACTATGGTTGATAGATATAACCCACATAAGCAAAAGTGCTTTTGGACCCTCAGCATTTTTAAGACTGTCAAGAGGAGTTCTGAGACAAAAACAGTTGGAGAAACTCTGGTATAAGGTATTTAGGTTGTTTCCAATTTTATGCTCCTTCATTATGAAACTTCAATTTATATGAAAATGTAGATATATGTAATTGTGGTAAGTATATAAAAATATATGTGGGTTCTGGGCTTGCTGGTATGAGACAGTAGTCCCAGCTACTCAGGAGGCTGAGGCAGGAAGATCTTGTGAGCCAAGGAGTTTGAGTCCAGCCTGGGCAACATAGTGAGACCCTGTCTCTAAAAAAGGAAACAAAGGAAAGAAAAAAAGCTTTAAAAAGGTATCTGGGTAATCAACTTTTCTCTCCAAGTCCAATTTAGTCCCTCATACATTGGAGGAAGGAGTTAGTCATTCAAAAATTAAAACAGGTCCTAGTATTTGCTTATCATAGGCTAACGTACTGAATACTACTAAAGGTTCTTATAAATTGAAAACTCGGTTTTGGATTAGAGAGGCAGATTCCTTTAGATTAGGGTTTATGCTGTCAATGTAATTCAAATCAAAGAAAGACTGAATTTCAGGATGGGTGCTCTATCAACTGTCAAAAGAGACCTCGAGCACATGGGAACACACACACACACACACACACACACACACACAGGCACGCACATGCATACACACAAATCCTTAATGAGACCCGAGTCTGTAGGCTCTTTTGTAACTGAACAAATCGGGGCTTAAACATTGTTTCCACTCTGTCCATTTTGTTATTTGACACCAAAACCGTCTGTTATTACAGCTATTAATAGTTGGCAGTGACATATAATAGATTTGAATTTGTCTAGGTTAGAATTTAGGATTCTTACATATCAAAATGAGAAAGAGGCTCTGTTGATATTTTCACATACTGATACTAGCATTGAATCACAGGGTTTTATTTAAGCCATGGTTACCTTTCAAAAATAGAACCGTAAATATCTCTCAACTTCAGGAACCAACTAATGGTTCTTCCTCTGAGTTGACAGCCACTGCTCAGTCTGTATATGTATGTCATCAGGTTTAGGATAAAGAAATCTCATCATTCAACCACTCCAGCCTTGTGAATTATGGATAGATTCTGTCTTCGTGCTATAAATATAATATGCATATTTGTCTTAATTTAGACCAGAAAAATCTCAATACGGGGAGAGGAGTGGAAGCAGTTTTTATGCTTTGAAAAAGCATTTTCAGAATTATAATTTTTTTTTTGAGACAGGGTCTTGCTGTGTTGTCCAGGCTGGAGTGCGGTGTGGCAATCAGGGCTCACCGCAGCCTCAACTTCCTGGGCTCAAGTGAGCCTTCTGTCTTAGCCCCCTGAGAAGCAGGACTACAAGTCTGTACCACCATGCCTGGCAAATTTTTACATTTTTTGTAAAGACGAGGTCTTGCTATATTGTCCAGGCTGGTCTCGAACTCCTGGGCTCAGGCAATCCTCCCACCTTGGCCTCCCAAAGTGTTGGGATTATACTGCACTCAGCCTAATTGTTTTGTTTTAGTCACAATATTTAGTTTAAAAATTCAAAGAACATATTAGAGGCAGTGAGATTTACTGATAGGGATCCCATGCTTAAGCTGACGGATTGTTACTCTCATACAATCCTGTCCCTGTTTCAATCTTAATCAAGGGGTAGACCCATGGACTGTGAACCCCATGAGGGCAGAAACTGTGTCCATTTTTCACCCTTGTTTTGACAATACCTATACCATAAACTCATTAGAATTCATTAGGATAGTTTTTATAAATGTATCTATTATTCTAATTTTTAACTGAATGACACCATCAAAGCCATTCAGTGGGGCCAAGGGAGGTGTTTTCAGTAAGATTCCAGAGCAACTGGATGTCCATGTGGAAAGTAATTAATCTCCATCCCTATCTCACATCACACACAAAATTAGTTAGCAGTGGATCATAGAGGTAAATGTGAAAGCCACAACTATGGAGCTTCTCAAAGAAACACAGAATATCTTCATAATCATAAGGATTAAGGCAAATATTTCTTAAAGGCACAAAAATCACTAACCATGAAAAAAATTATAAACTGGACTTCATGACAGATAAAAACTGCTCATCAAAAGAGAGCATTAAGGAAGCGAAAAGGAAAGCCACAGATTCGGAGAAATATTTACAATGGACATAACTAGCAGAGGACTTCATTTCTAGACTATATAAATAACTAGAAATTCATAAGGAAAAGCCATTTCCCACTGTATTATGTAATTTGCAGTACGCTTTTCTGCCTCCCTGATTAAACTGATAACTTCTTGTCATGTATTTGATCAACTGTGTGTTCACAGTTCCTAAGGTGAGTCAGGTACCAGGAACAAGGAACATGCTTGAATGAATGAACAAGTTGCTGCCGTGCTGTTGGTTTGATCCTATTTCTCAGGGCAAATGATGACTGTTAGTTGGAAAATTGGGGGCTCTTAGCTTTTCCTTATGATGAGGCTTGGCTAAGTTAAAGGTAGTCCTGAAGGTCACGTAACTAGTTTCATTTCCTTCTAATCTCATTTTTATTATTGCCACTTCTACCACACATACTGAAGTCTTACTTGTCCACCTCTTGCTAAACAGAGACATGAGGCAATGGCTACGGTGCGGTTAAATGAATGACTTGTAGAGCAGAGAGCTAGCTGAACATCTAGAACTTACTTTCAAAAGAAATGGAATTTTCTTATTGATCACTATTTAGAGCTTGAATTTAGATCCGGCTTCCTGACAGTGTTTCATACAGTTTAGTACAGAACTGAATTTCTCTAATCCTAGGTGCCAGGTACATACATACAATGGTTACATCAAAGGAGATAAATTTCAAGTTTTAAAATATTAAAAAATTAATATTGCCTAATGTTGCCATTTAGAAAAAGATCAACTTATCTTGAGAATTTCAAGATTTTCCTTTCCTCCAAACATATTAAAAGATAATAGCTAGAATTCCATTACTTACTAAACTGAACCCAACATTACAAAATACTACTGATATAAATGAGTAATTTTTTAAAAAAAATCCTAAGCTTGCTCACTCAGACTTCTTTGCACTAGTGCATGCTCTCTCTGTGTGTGTGTGTGTGTGTGTGTACACCTATACACATCCATTATTTACCTATCTCTGTGTCTATATTTAATGGAATTAAACACAATTAGTATTTAAGGAAATTTTAGGTCCTTATCTTTTTCTTTCTCAAAGATGATTTTATATCAATACTTTCCATGAACACATCTGGTGTTTCTTTATAGCCTGGATTTACTAAATGTCATATCTAATGAAAGAGGGATTTATGTTTTTTCAACATAAATTCATTTTATTTTCTCCAGGCTCCTCCCTCACTACTCAAAGTTGATGACTTCTTAAACCAAAATGGTTGGTCAGAATCCAATCAAGAATATAAAGGCAACTGAATAAATAAAACCATGAAGTAAGTGTAAAATACTAGTGTCCAGACATCTGAGATGTATGTGGCTACTATGAAACTTCCACAGCTGTACCGGCCGGGAGCTCACGTGGTTCCCCAGGTTTAACAGAACCCATTACCAGTAAGAGTTTTATTTGCTTAATAAATTACATTCTAAAGCACAATAGCCTAGGCTCATAGCTGTAAAATTGCCAAATATTGTCAATGACCACTCTCTGGTCATAAATAACAAAATAATCTTGTGACTCATTGGATTTTTGATTCCCAAGGCGATTCTTTCTCGCCATTACTCAAAAATGTGAAAAAGTGCCTCTACGTGGCATTTTATGGAGGATATAAATTACTCAAAGGAGATGACATAGGACAGATTTGTAGGCCGAGTAACAGGAACCAGCCAACCAACTGTGTAAATTAAAGAACTAGTGACAAAGAAGAGGGCTAGTGAAAGAATTCTGAAATCCTAAGAACAGATCAGGATTAAGATCCTGAAAAGACAATCTTGGTATAAAAGAAAAGAGAATCTTTTCTCTTTTCAGGGGAATGGAGGGAGAGTGATGCAACAACCACGCATGGAATATTTACGGTAACCGGAGGGTGATACGTTACAATACAACTCAGGTTCACTTTGAAATATATTTTATATTTATAGTCTTATTTGCACATATCAAAGGGTAGACACTGGTATCAAGTGTCACAGAGATAAACATTGGAGGGTTATTTTTAATAACCAATATTAATTCTTAAATGTGGTTAACAGTTCCTTCGGTTACGCAGCTCAACTACACTGAGCAGTTGCTATGTGGTAGCCCCTGAGCCGGGGGTGGGGTATTGAAATTAATAAGGCACAGCCCTGCCCTCCCCTAGAGGAGCTCACATTCCAGAGGAGAGGGAGCTGGCTAACTGCGTATGTCACTGTGTGCTGTCACAGAGCAGCCCCAGGTGTGGGATGGGGCACACCAGAGGGAGGGAACTCAGCTGGATAGGTGGGCAGGACAAGTGGGAGGAATAGGCAGGGGGCAGAGGAGAAGTTTATTTATTTTTATTTTTTTGAGATGGAGTCTTGCTCCGTCACCCAGGCTGGAGTGCAGTGACTCACTGCAACCTCCATCTCCTGGGTTCAAATGATTCTCCTGCCTTGGCCTCCTGAGTAGATGGGACTACAGGTGTGTGCCACCACACCTGGCTAATTTTTGTATTTTTAGTAGAGACAGGGTTTCACTGTGTTGGCCAGGCTGGTCTCGAACTCTTGACCTCAGGTGATCCACCTGCCTCGGCCTCCCAGAGTGCTAGGGTTACAGGCGTGAGCCACCACACCTGGCTGAAAGGAGCAGTTTTATGGCAGGGGGAGCAGGGTATGTGAAAGAGGCGTGAAGAGCCTGATCTGCCAGGGAACAGACAGGGAGGAGGGGAAGAGGGAAGGTTGGCAGGGGTCAAAATTACTAAGGGTTTCCTCAGCCAAAGGAGATGACTGGACATAACCTTGCAGACAAGCAGGCCAATGGCGAGATCAGATTGGCATTTAGAACGATTATTCCTTTATCACTGTGGCTAATTTCATTAGAACACCATTTAATGATCAAAGTTAGGCATTTTGGCTTTTAAACAGAACAATAATGGAAACTAAAAACATACCTTTGTGGCAATTATGTATCCTTGTGGCATTTTCTGTGGAAACGGGAAGTATCTCACAATGATACTTAGGCATGAGCTTGTCTTTTCTCCTAGTTTTTTTTTTCCCTCTCCCAGTATTGCTGTAAAGTGGTTTGTAATTGTTTTAGGAAGATTCTGACAACATGAAACAGAATCTTGATGAGAGCTGGTCCTGTGTTTAGAGGAAAGACTTTTACAGTCTTCTTTTGGTTTTCTGATTACTTCACTGACCACAAGACAATGCTGTGCTGAGTAAACGCTCATATATTTCTGAAGTTGAAATGATAAAATAATTATTTAAGATCTTTCACCCTTGTCAAAAAGAAATATGTCCTTTTCCATAAAAGTCATCTAAGAACATACTCTTGCGATCTTTTCTAATATTCAGTATGATGCCATGAAGTTTGAACTGCCATGAATAGACATTTGGACAAACAAGTCATGGAAGCCTTATCAGCTGAGTTTTATTAATGTCTAGTTATAATTCTCCAGTATTTTTCACAGAGTAGGTGATTAAAAACACCTTCAATAAATGAAATAAATGAGTACTGCTTTTAACTGGAGTAGATTATTTCATTTTATTGTATCTTTAAGACACAAAATCTTATTTGTACAATAATTAAAATATTTAGACTAGTCAAGCTTTTTTTTTTTTTTTTTTCAACTGAAGCCCTTCACAATGCTTTCTGGAGACTTACGGGAAAGAGGTGTCTTGCTTCCTGTTACAACAAGCATTTGAAACATCTACAGGCACAACCTTCGTGCCTCACTGAAAGATGCAAATACTGCTCATCCTCCACTGCCACTGCACACAGTAGGCACTCCACGTTTAATGACAGTGATGTACTGGTTTTCTATTCCTATTTTGCTATCTGCAATTCTTTGAGTAAGTTTGATGGTCCATTACAGTACAATGTCCACAGAATTCTCTTGGGCTATCTAACACAAATCCACTAGAAATTAAGTACCTAATTTTAAAAAGCTCTGTTTTCATATTAGAATCAAAAGCTCTGATATTCATTTAACCAATGTTCATTGTACACCTACTATGTTCCAGGTACACTGCTGGAAATATACAAATGATACCTTTCTACTGTCCGAGGAATCATAGTCAAGTAGGGGAAGAGATCTACAATTAAGATCTAATAAATGCTAAATACAGATCTGCACTAGTGCTATAGAAGTACCGCAGAGAGAGGAATTCGTTTTGAATGGTGTAAAAGGTAGATTGGCGCAAAACTCACAGAGGCAACATTTTAGAGGAGGACCTTATAGAACGAGGAGGAGCTCACAAGCCAGGGAGAGGCTGTGTAGTCCAGGCAGAGTAAACAGGACCAGCAAAGTACACAGGACTCCGAGCACAGAGCAAGTTAAAGAAAGGCCCAGGACCCTGGTGACTGATGTGAAGAGAGCGTGAGAAGGGGGATTTCAGTCCATAAACTAGGACCAGAGGATTACCTACTGGGGCCTCCACAGTTTCGCTAACAGTAAATTTAGAAAAGTAGAGCAAACCAGAGGTTCCCAGTGTTGGCAGCTGTAGAATCTTCTAGGAAACTCAGGAGGAGGATCTGAGGGGAAAAAAAGAAGAAAGGGCAGAGGAAAGAAAGGCAAGGGGGAGAGGGAGAGGAGGAAGAGGAAGAGAAGGGGCAGCAAAGGGGACACAGAGGAGAAGCCACAAAAGGAAGGGAGCAGGTCAGAGACACCAGAACAGGAGGAGGACAACTCGATTCCAGTTCCCAAACCCCCCACCGACTGATTCAGGATCTGCAAACCAGGGGCTGAGGAAGCTGCAGTTATTATGCAACCAGGTTTGAGATTTGTTAGTGTAAATTCTCAGTCTCATTGAAGAGGAGGTAGATGGTTTTTTCATCTGTTTTTGAAAAGAAAACAAAAGGCTCAGTTTGATGTAGATTTCTTAGACTTCAGTACAAAAAGAATGTATACTGGGAACAGAAATTTATTTTTGTTAGTGCTTTTATTGCTTTATCTTTTTTATTATTCTCTAGGTGCTTCTAAAATAAGTTATTAAGCCAAGCATGGTGGCTCATGCCTGTAATCCCAGAACTTCGGGAGACCAAGGCAGGAGGACTGCTTGAGGCGGTCGAGACCAGCTGGGCTAACACAGCAAAACCCCATCTCTACCAAAAAAATTTTTTTTAATTAGCTGGGTCTGGTGGTGTATGAGCACAGTCCCAGCTACTCAGGAGGCTGAGGCGGGAAGATGACTTGAGCCTAGGAGTTCAAGGCTACAGGAAGCTGTGAATGTGCCGCCGCACTGAAGCCTGTGTGACAGAGCAAGACTCTGTCTCTTAAAAAAAAAAAAAAAAAAAAAAAAACCTTAATTAAAAAAATTGAAATAAAATTAGATATTAAGAATCAATATGTTTTCAAGAATCTTGGGAAAGAATAAGAATTATTTTTTTCTAAGCTAATCACTTTAAAGCGTTCGTTAGATGAAGGTTCAGAAGAGAAACCCAGCGCTCAATGCCTAAGTGAGGTTATTTTAGAAACTGCTACTCCTGAGCCATTCCTATCTTCACCTGACTTGAGAAAAAGAAATAACTTTTTGAGGCTTCTTTTATCATTTGAAAACTTTACATGATGTCCCAGGAGACAGAAAGAATCATAAAATTCCTAAAGTGATGCCTTGAGAGTAATTAGTTCTAGATAGCTAATAATGGATGGTTGAGAAAACAGAGAGAGCTCCAGAGGTTTAAATAAGAGCATCTTTCCAAAGATTACAGCATCCCCATGCGACACGTAAGGTCTTCAAGTAAGAGGGTAGGAGCGATCCACTGACTTTTCCTCTAGTAATAAAGCCTTTACTGATTTGTGCTCATGTATTATTTTTTTTAATTCCTTTTAGATTTTTATTAGTATGAGTCAACTAAATACAGAATTATCCATCTTATTGTCTTATAATTGGAAACTGAAATATTAGGGGGAAAATCAGAGAATAGATTCCATGCATTGCTTAACATAAACAGTAATATTCGGGCTTATATAAAGACATATAGAGCCTGAATTGTAAAATCTAATTGCTTCATGTGAGTAAATTTTGAAAACTGACATTATGAGAGCTGTGCTGTACTTTCAAAATGAAGTTCAGTGTTCTAAGGGAACCTGGAGCCTATTTGTGATTTGTGTTTCCACTTTCATTTCAGCAGATTCTGACATGTTGATAAGAAAAACTAAGATTGACCACATAATTTTAAACCAAATCAGAATGTCAGTTCTAGCATAAGAGTCTGATTAAATGCAATGTGGCTACAAGAAGGTTTTTAGTTAGCAAAACTGGGAGGCTTTCATTCTCCTTAGCTGTAGGAGTGCCTGTACCAGAGACAGGCACCTTCTCCACTACAGGAAGAAGCATCCCACACTCAAAGGACCACGGCTAGAACAGCTTTTTGTTTTCTTTCTTTTCTAAAAGAGGTGTGCATTTTGGGACTATAAAGACTACTGGAACATTCTGATAAGTCTTACAATGTTTTCAACACTATTACTCAAGATAAGGGCACCCAGAAAAAAAAAACGCAGCTGCCTTTGGAACCCTCAGGACCACCCACACTGTATGTTCTAAGTTTGGGGCTGTGCCACATGAGGCAAGAGAGCACGTTAAACACGTGTGGGATATTATGAAGACCTGAGCAACTTCATGTTCATAGTTTTAAGGAACTCTAAAGTAAAAGATACAGATTTAATCTGAAGGTATTTTGTGTTTTTATGAAGAAATATCACATGGATGTAATATATATATTTGACTGATAACTTAAAAATTATATTCATATTTAATTATACTAAATCTTTAGATGCCATATGTGTACGTAAATATATATATATTCAAAATTCATTTATATGAAGCAATCCTGTTTTATAATTCAGTCTCTAAACCTCTTTATATAAAACAAATTAAACAACTGGCATTTATTTCATGATTCTGTAACATTTCCTGATATTTCAGTTTCCAATTAAAAATGATAGTAGGAACAGTTCTGTATTTAATTGACTTGTACTAAGGAAAGAAAGGTGTCTATTTCAAATCAAATATGGAAAACAAAATAGGTCACATTTGTGGACAACAGGCATGCAATAAAGTATCATAAATTCTAAGACAAAACACATAATCATGTTATAAAACACCCCTCTTTAAGATGAAATAAATTCTGCTGTGGGTTAATCTCCCACGTACATAGTACATCTTTTTCACATAGAAAGCTGGGGCTCCACTCTGTGTTCAAATACTTCAGATCATTTCAGATTTTGTCACCCAATGCATGTATTGTCTGCAATAAAAATGCAATTCATCTACCGAAAAAAATTCAGCAATTCACCTTAGGCAGGCTTAGAGTCTCAATTAGCCATATAAGTAAAAAATTTACCCCAAGTTATTATATGCAAATGTATATAATAAGGGATATTTTCACAAAGTATTATATAACTTCTGTACTTCTGGAGAAAAATAGTTACAGCAGAAAATTTCAGTGCCTTCATTTTTACTGCTAAGTTCTAAACGAAGGCTACATGTGGTCTCAACCTTATTGATCCCACTGAATAGATCCCTAGACCTGCGCAACAGCCTTATATGGAATTAAAAGGGGACCTTCCACTTGGTGAATATGGCCATGGAATAATCCATTTATGTGAAAACCAAACGAAAAACAGTCTAAATTTTTGTTTTCTCCTTTGTGATGGGCCACATGCTTTTTTCAAACATCTTTTATTAAAAATAATCTATAAGGTTGTTCAAGTGAGATTTTAAACATAAACCCACTCCCACTCACAAGGCAAAAGATGAGACTTCCAATCCCTTTCTTTTTGCTTTCTTTTTTAAATGAAAAGGAACACAAGAAGAAGGCCAAGACACATTCTACAGAGAGCGTGCTGTCGTTAGCTCAGCTGTTTTTGATGACCCTCTGCCTGTTTTACACCTTATCCTGATGTCAATTCTTGTTTTCACTCTTCCAGATTTCTTTCACAAGAAAACAGCTGACAGAATGTTGCAAAATAAAGAGGAAAAGGAAGAACTTCAGCTGGGAATAGAAAGTCTTCATCCATGACACCAAATCCATTTCCCCACCTCTGACACACTATGGTTGCTAACATTCCCGGCTCTCTGCAAGGGGAAGTAAACGAGCACGCATGCTCACTGCCCCACCAGTGAGGGCGCTGAGCCAAGTTGGGGGCTTGCTCTCCTGCCTTGATCTGACCCTGAAGGTGGTGGGATAGGGTAGGCGGTAGAGGGTGGGAGAAGAAGTGACCATTCATTCGCCTATCTATTCACTCGGTATTTATGAGAGCCTACTGTGTGCTTGGCAACATCCCAGGTGGTATTTATGGAAGATCTGCCATGTGCTAGCAGGTTTTAATTATCTCATCTTTGTACCACCTTAGAGAAATAATATTTTTATGACTGCCAGATAAGGAAATGGATTCAGAGAGCTTATTTAGGAGTCTTAAATCACATAAAACGACTGATTTATGACTGGATTCCAATTTTGTCTCATTCCAAAGCTCAGGTGTTCACTGATGACTGTATCATGGGGACCCAACAAAATACCACCATTAATTCGATTTATTCATATACAGTGGCAGCACTCCCTTCTAAAATACGGATATTATCCAAAGAGGTAATATGGAAGACAGTACTGGGAATTCTCAGTATACTGTAAACGATTTTGCTTTGTTTTCTGTTTTTTATAACTCATATAAAAGTAATATATTCTCATTGTCATTAATCAAAGAACACAGAAGTGCACAGAATTAACAGGTTTCTCCACCTTTTCAACCAATTAATGAACATGTAAAGTTTAGTGTATTTCTTTTCATACTTCTATCTCTGCTCACAAACTGCAACAAACAAATACAGATTTGTTTTTCTCCTTCTTCTTCTTTTTTTAAAGTGGTGGAGGTCTTTCTTTTTGTCTGCTGACCATAAGGCACAGGTGGGGATAGGAGTTTCAATGGAAGGGGGGTGGTAGAGTTTGGAAGACTAGGAAAACTGCCAGAGAAAAGCAGGTCTGGGTGGGGTTGTCACAGAGTTTAACATTTCATCGAGAAAATATTTTTTTCCTTAATTCTAAAGCAGTATCTAAAAAAATTTGTCATTAGTAAATTAGCAGTGTCCATACCTAAGAAAAGCGGCATGACTAGATAGAAGCTGGTATTTATACATATATATTTAATACATTGCTCCTTTACACACACACACACACACACTCACATAACACACATACAAGATGCTACTGATAGATTGCAATCTAGAACATGCCTTCCTGTTCTAATACAAATGGGTCTGCATTTTCTTTTAACTTGGCAAGGTTGAAAAACAGACTCGTCATAAGTGTGTAATGTCTTGAACCAAAATAGACTTCCTTAATGATTTGTTTTCTCCAATTTCACCACAAAATGTAATGCAGCCAACAAAAGAACTATTCTTCCCCCCACGTATAATAACATGTTATTCAACAATCATGTAAGAAAGCCTATACATAAGACTGCCAAGGTTCTGAAATTGAGTTTCTAACTGAAATGTTTGGAAAGAAATCTTTTCTTTTTTAAGTTTTACTCCGAGGGTTTGAGTGAAGTGATATAAATATCTAGGAATATACAGTTTTGCTTTACTACTATAACATGCTTACAGAAGTAGTTATGGTTTACTTTATAACATGGGTCACTGAAAACATTAACCATAAAAACATATAAAAGTACAAACAAGTTCTCAGTAGACCATTTACTCTGTAGCAGAACAAACAATTTAATTGCTTCTGTCCTTGTGAGGGCAATAGCTCCAGATGAAGCTGGGTCAGGAGCACCCCTTGGTTTGTGGGGAGTCTACAATCTGCATGCTATTCACGTGACCTGACTCTCTCAATACTTCAAGGGTCTGCACCCTAGGACGGAGGTAAAAGCCTGGTTAACAGCAGGAAAAGCAACCCATTCCCAGTACGGTAAGGAAGATTATAACAGAATGATCAACTATTTTTCTTTTTCTTTCTTTTTTTAATGGAGAACTGCAAAGGAAAGAAAAATTGTAATGGTGCAAAAAGCTAAAAAGGGGGAAAAAGTGAATCCACTTTTTACTTTTCTGAAATACAGAGCTTGCCTTAAAAGTATGCCCCATAATCACTAGCCCACCTGAAAACTATAGAAAGTACAGAAGACTGAACTATGCAAATACATAATCTGAATGCACATTAATGCATGATGCATATTTATGGTATGACGACAGGTATAAATATTACCAAAAATGAATATATCTCCTGTATCTGTTAAATTTCTGGGAAATAACCAGGTCAACTAAAATGTGTTAGCCAAGATAAGACATAGTTAATGCATTTTTAAAAATTAGATTATCAAAACACGTTTTTCTAACGAGTGAAAGTTAAGTTTTTCTAAATAAAAGTTTTCTCCTTTGGCTGGGTGCAGTGGCTCATGCCTGTAATCCCAGCACTTTGGGAGGCCGAGGCGGGTGGATCACCTGAGGTCAGGAGTTCAAGACCATCCTGGCCAACATGGTGAAACCCTGTCTCTATTGAAAATACAAAAATTAGCCAGGCGTGGTGGCAGGTACCTGTAATCCCAGCTACTCGGGAGGCTGAGGCAGGAGAATCACTTGAACCCAGGAGGCGGAGGTTACAGTGAGCCGAGATCGTGCCATTCCACTCTAGCCTGGGGGACAAGAGTGAGACTTCATCTCAAAAAAAAAAAAAAAAAAAGTGAGCAAGGGGAGAAGAAAGGCTAACTATCTGGTGGGAAAAACACTAGTACAAGCACATCTATATGTATGTATGTACATATATACACATGCATATATATATACATATATACATACATGTAATAAATATACATAGACCCTGGATCATCAAAAAAGTGGTTGATTTTGTATTTCTGATTTAGGTGGGGATCCCAGGTTTAAACTCCAGGTCCACTATTTATCACTTATGTGGCCTTTTGTTACTTCGCTTCTCTTTGTCTCAAACTAGAGATAATACCACTCACCTTAATTCTAAAGCATATCTAAAAAATTTATCATTAGTAAATTAGCAGTGGTCATACCTAAGGAAAGCCGCATGACTAGATAGAAGCTGGTATTTACACATATATATTTAACACACTGCTCCTTCACACACACACATACACACACTCTCACACATACACTCACATACAAGATGCTACTGACAGACTGCAATCTAGAACATGCCTTCCTATTCTAATACAAATGAGTCTACATTTTCTTTTAACTTGGCAAGGTTGAAAAACAGACTCATCATAGTAACTTAGCAGTGGCCACACCTAAGAAAAGCGGCATGACTACACAGAAGCTGGTATTTACACATATATATTTACATACTCAGAGAAATAAAAAGTTAATGCAGGTAAGGCCCAAGTGTTATACCCTGCAATTACTAAGTGGTTTATTTTAATAAACTCAAATGTTTTTATTCGACGGATTCATTATTTTCTGTGAAAAGCACTGAGTTGTACCTTGGTGTATCAGAAAAGTCACATGGAAAAGCTCTTCTCTTTGAAAGATATTTCTTTATATCCACTTAAAAATCTACCTTGGGCCTGGGTGCGGTGGCTCCTGCCTGTAATCCCAGCACTTTGGGAGGCTGAGGTGGGTGGATCACTTGAGGTCAGAAGTTTGAGACCAGCCTGGCCAACATGGTGAAACCCTGTCTCTACTAAAAATACAAAAATTAGCCAGGCGTGGGGGCAGGCGCCTGTCATCCCAGCTACTTGAAAGGGAGAGGCAGGAGAATTGCTTGAACCCAGGAGGCAGAAGTTGCAGTGAGCTGAGATCATGCCACTGCACTCCAGCCTAGGCAATAAAGTGAGACTCTGCCTCAAAAAAAAAAAAAAAAATATATATATATATATATATATCTACCTTGGGTTATGTTTCTCATAGAGATAGAATATGACAAGTAGACATTTTAGGAGTAATGTTTGTCTCCTTGCTTCACTGTAATGATAAAATCATTAAAGAAAATAAAATAGTATGATACAGATTAGGAATCCTCATGCTAAGCAGAAAGTATTACATTAATTTTGAGTGTTTATCTTGGTACACTCTACACAATAACTACATATATCACACAAACATTTCTGTCTGGTACTAATATAAAAAGCTCTCTGAAAACAATTATTTTATGATATTGTACATTTTCTAGTTTTTCTTATAGTTTATAAATACATATTTCTGACTTAGCATTAATGAAATGAAACCTAAAATCTTGAAAACATTTAATATAAATTATAAATAGGGGAAAAGTACTTAGGGTAGTTAGCTGCTACTCATGTGTTACTGAAAGAAGAGGCATGAATTTTATTATGAAAAAATAAAATGTGGATAAAGAATGCTTTGGTAGTAAAAACATACACACAAAAAGCACTGGATTTCACAATCAAAGTCCAATGAGAATTTTCCCCCTTTGGCAGTCAAACAAAAATTCCAGGAAAATAGTTTAAATTCCCTTCACAAAGTTCAAATGTAGCTATTGGTTATTAACTTGCAAATATAAGAAATAACATTTCGGTCTGGGTATCTGACTAATGGTTATTTATGGACCCTATAAAATTTAGAATAACTTTTGCATTTAATATATCTCACATGAAATTACTGTTTCAGTAGTCCAAAATCTGTTTACTGCAATTCCATACAGATGAATTATAATTCTAAATAGAATCCTCAAATTCTGTTTACGTTTTAATGTAAACACTTCACCTACAGGAATAAGCAGCACTCATTATTTCTTTAGAGACAAGAATATTGTAGAGAGCTAACAACTCACTTTTGAACTGAGTAAGTTCACTGAATTTCCAAAATTCTAATAAGCACTATAGTTTACATAGTGCTTTATAACTGCAAGCCTGCTGCTTTTTAAACAATGATGCATTCCCCTAAATTCATATTTTAAAAATATGAATTATCAGTTGAGATTTCTCTGCCTACAACATAGAAATCTCTGCTCCTGGCCACTGGGTGGTCCTGCACGCATGGGCATGGGGCTCTAGCCCAGGCCTGCCTGTCACTAACTTCTCTATGGCCTCAGAGAAGTCACAGGGCCAATGTTTTCTAAACACATGTATATTTTTAAGTTATGGAACATGCTTACAAAATGCCACCTCATTGTGTCTTGTATACATGGACTCTATATATGGATGCATATACTGCAACCAATTATAGCTATCCCAGAGTGAAAGGATATTTTGAGAGAAGCAATTATTACAGCAAATGAGACAGGAAACATCCTTTTCCATTGCTCAAGAAACACAGATATTTGTTTCTTGTCTCTCGGCAAAAATGGAAAAACTCTCTTGCATTTCGGAAGTGAGTGGGTCTCCCGGAGGTTCTGAGAAGGGTCTATGCTAAGTAATCCTAAACTGAGCAAACCCTCCCAGCTCCTTTTGAGCGGAGAGGCTGAATTCAACACTGCCAGGGGAGCCGCGGCTGGTGGGTGGGGACGGGGGGCAGCTCGCTGTCGTGGGCTTTAGGGAGCAAACTCTGCCAAGCTGGGATGGGCGAGGATAAGGAGGGAAAGACGGACAGTTCTTTGGTAATAAAAATGCAGTTTATATAAACTGTAGGAGACCTGGTGAGAAAGTAAAAGAGGTAATTGTGCACATTCCAAACGTTTTAATATATAAACTGTGTAACCATCACTCATGAATAGCGCAGCTGCTAACAATTTATTTGTTTTTTTTTTTTTTTTTTTTTTTTTTTACCAAGATAAAAATCATGCTAAAGCCAAGAGATGTTTCTCTAGTGAATGATATTTTGAAACTCTGGTCAAAACATAACTGTGACATAATAAATTTTTAAAGAAGTCATGAAAGCTTGTAGTTTGAAATTTGAAAGAAGACCTAGTTTTTTCCCCAATTAGGAAGGACCACATTTCAACTTTCATGACAGTGGCGGGCTCAGTCTTGCGGCGGGGGAGGGGACGCCAATTCTGCATGCACATCTGTTTCCAGTGCAATGCTGGTATGCAAACTATTGTCTATTGGAAGTGTGTCGTGGTAACGTTTGCCAGGGTTAAAGGCTGGGTCAATTTGATCAAGACGCTAAAATTAGCTTCTGTGTGTTTTCCTGAAAAGAAAAAAAAATACTGTAAAGCTCTTTGTTTTCCTTCAAGTACCATTCTCAGATTTCAGTTTCTGGTGTGTAAACTACCAGGAAACAGACGGCTATGACAACTGACTTCTTGTTCACTGAGTCCTGCATAATGAAATGGTACCACACGTCACCAAGCTGGAGAACTCAGGGTGAAAGGTAGCTTTCTGACCCAACTCACATTTTCCCATTTAAAAAATATCAACATTATAAAATTACTTAATGTGAATGCATTTGGAAATTCAAAACCATAGCTATATTTTAAAGTGTGTGATGGCTTGGCAAAGCCCAAACACATTTAGAAACTCATCATTCTGAGAAGTATTGGGGTAAGATTTAGGTCACATATCCCTGGTAGTATTGACAGTGCTCTGATTATTTTCACAGGAAGTGAGTTTGTTAGGATGAAAAAGAGGGAAAAAAATACATATACAAACTCCGGTAATAATCTGACGAATTCCAAGAGTAGAAAGGAATCGTGGAAACAATACATAGTCATGAGATAGTTCAAGAAAAATATTGATATTTTTCTAGATTAGCAAAATTAGAAAATTACTTAACAGTTAATATTCCAATAGATGACAAAGATGAAAAAAGGAGAAATAGAATTATCTGTTAATGTTTAAGGCTTTGTGATGAATATACAAATAAACCAAAAGTAGAAGCATGTTTGAAATTTATTTACATACTTGGAGACTTGCTTTTTCTTATATGAGATGCTAAGTCAGGTTACAATAATATAGAAGTAAAAACTTCAGTGAAATGCCTCGCCTATATTTTAAATATTTCAATACTGTTAACTTTAAAATGACCTATAATGTAAAAAGTACTTTTTGTGTACATTTTACTATAAATATTTCCGATTAAGAGAAGTCTGACAGAAGAAATAAACAGGTTTTCCCCAAATTACAAAATGCAATAGAAAAATCCTTCAATCTAGTTACAGTATGGTGAAAATACTATAAATTTGGGTCATTTATACCACAGGATTTCCTTCTTTGCAAACATCCTCTCAATTCCAGTGGCTTTTTGTACTTTTATAATTTAGAGCTCATTAAAAAGATTTGGTATGGATACTAGAAGTGTGTAAAATATTTGGCAAAACTCATTTGTAAAATGAAACTTATTTGTACAACATACATAAAATTACCCAATTTTTATATTTAAATGCCCTCTAGAGCCAAACACAGCATGGTAGTTACTACTAATTGCTTATTTTCTTGGGTCAGAAATTAGTGAAAAATTACTATATATCGTGACACCAAATTAATAAGATTCCGTATTATCTCTAATTTCTCACAACCAGCTCTTCTTCAGTTTAAAATCTGACCTCTTTTCTCAAAGTTATTTGTAAAAATGGGAAGGATAATATTGAACTGCAATAACTCATCAAGTCTAAAGTTTTTCAGTCATGATCTTCCCAATTGTATGTTCTTACACAGCTGAGCACAGCCTTCTGGTGGAAAGACCCTGGGCTCCTAGGACACTACAAATGGCAGGTTCATCTTCTTCCTCCTGCATGTGTCCTGAGGATTCCTACCCCCCACCACTGCCCACATGCCCTTTCTGGCACCTGAAGTTTAGCATTTCCTAAGGTTGTGACCTTACCTCCCCCTTCTTTTCCTTTTACATACTGTTTTCCAGTAAATTTACCCACTAATATATATGGCTTCAAATATCTATGTTTTTAGCCTAAGCATTGTTAAGCTAGGCACAGAGGGTCTATGGAGGGAGTTTGAATATTCATTAGACTCCTGATACTATGTTAGAATATATGCATAAATAGATGCATTTTTTGTTGTTGTTGAGAATCCAAAATGGTCATGGAAAGCTGTCCATGACTCAAAAAGAAAAGAAAACCCAACCTCACCACCACTTGCTACACCAGAATGGCTCCAGCAGCCTAACTGAGCACCTTCACTGGGGTATTCCCAGCATACTAGTACTTCACACTCAGGCTGTTCTCATGACGGGCCTCCTCCTAAGAACATCCCTTCTCCTGTGTCTCCTGTGTGCTTATGCTATTACCACCCTACCATCCCTGAGACTCTCCTTTCTCCCTCATCCAGCAACTCCAACTAGTGCAAGCCTGAGGCTTCTCTTCTCATCTGTTTCCACCACCATCCCTTTAGCCCGGGACCCTTGAAGTATACTATGTGATTGAGTTGCCTTATAACCTTCTCCTCATCCAGGGTGGCCAGTGTTGCACCATTCCAGGGGCTGCAATTCTTGTCACATTCTCTGCAAATGCAACATATCTCCATGCAACGTGACGGAAACTCCAAGGCTGTGTGCACAACCAGTGAATTCAGGTGTGCACTTCTACACTTTCTACAACATCATTCTCACTTCCCTGTACAGCCTATTTCAACTATACCGCCGCGCCCCGCCCCCCATACAAAATTAACTATTCACATTCCCTGAATACGTCCACACTTTTTTTGTCTTTGTGTCACAACGCCTGCTGATCTGTGTTTTGGAAAAATATCACCAAATGCCCACCTCTCACAATGCCTGGTGGTCTGTCTTCTGTTGGTCTCTCCCATGAAGTTTTCAGTAGGGCAGAGTGTAAGCATGTGGGTATCAGATGAGGATCCAAACCCCAGCTCCACTAACATGAACTACTCAAGTAGTCTTTTGTAAACTACTTGAACTCTCCACACCTAGGGCCTCCTTTTAAAGCAGGGACAAAATTTAACAGTTAGGATGTGAGGATTAAATGAAATATAATGCCTATTAAGTACCTGGTACTTTTTAAGTGCTCAATATTTTTTAGCTGTTATTTTAATATCCTCACTCCCAGTAACGATTTCATTCTCCTGTATCCTCTGCTTTGGACTGTGGTACCATACGTTTGTTGTTTTCCTGCCTCCCAAATATGATTTTAGAAGTCAGGGGCATGCACTATCATATTTAAATCACCTCGGGCACCCAGCACGGTGCCTTACACATAGTAGGTGCTTACTAAATATGTGGTTATTTTTCTGAAGTCACTCTCTCTTGGGCCAGAATTTACTGGAGGTCAAGGAGGCAAAAGGGTGGAAGAACTACAGAGATGTTAGATCCTTCACTTGCAGATAAATCGCATTACGAAAGTCAGTCACCATTTCAGAGTTGCACACAGGACACAATGCCTAGTGGGTATTTACATGTGCCAAAGCAACGCATTGGCTGAGAAGATCGCTGATGACGTTTAACTTGTATAGCATCCTTCAAAACATCATGACTCTTGGGAGAACATGTTCATTGGATACAGAAAACATAAAAATTCTACAAAGCATATATTTTCTTACCTCTTAAAAATGGACCAAACCAAATGCATTACAAAACCTCAGGTTTACAAAATAGCAGACAAATAAATTAAACACTGGCATAATTGAGCTATGGTGAATAAATACTGCCAGTCTAATTTGAGGAACTAGTTTGAACACAGTCATGCATCATTTAACGACAGAAACACATTCTGAGAAATGTGTCCTTAGGTGATTTTGTTGGGCCCAAATCACACAGTGCACTTACACAAACCCACATAGTAGAGTCTACTATACAACTAGGCCATATAGTATAGCCTATTGCTCCTATACTACAAATCTGTATACTCATTTAAGCAACTATAACATGGTGATAATTATTTGTGTTTCTAAACATTTCGAAACAGTTTTACTGTGCAGTAAAATATAGCATAAAAGATAGAAAATGGCTGGGTGCCATGGCTCATGCCTGTAATCCCAGCACTTTGGGAGGCCAAGGCAGGCAGATCACTTGAGGCTAGCTAGGAGTTTCAGACCAGCCGCCTGGCAGACATGGCGAAACCCCATCTCTACTAAAAACACAAAAATTAGCCAGGCGTGGTGGCATGCACATGTAATCCCAGCTACTTGGGTGGCTGAGGCACGAGGATCACTTGAACCTAGGAGGGGGAGGTGGCAGTGAGCGGAGATCACACCACTGTACTCCAGCCTGGGCGACAGATTGAGGCTCTCTCTCAAAAAAATAAAAAGATAGAAAATGGTACACATGTACAGGCACTCACCATGAAGGAAGCCTGCAGCACTGGAAGTTGCTCTGGGTGAGTGAGTGAGTGAGAGGTGAGTCAATATGAAGGCCTAGGACATGACTGCACACTACTGTAGAATTTGTAAACACTGTACACTTAGGCTAAAGGAAATTTAAAAATAAGGTAATTGTGCTATGATGTTTGGATGGCTACCACGTCACTACATGATTAAACAATTTTCAAGTCCATTATAATCTTCTGGTATCAACACTGTATATGTGGTCTGCCGCTGACCGAAACGTCATTATGTGGTGCACGACTATATCTTTAGTAAGAGGATCTTGGAATATTTCTAAGTAGAGAGCATATGAGATCCAAATTTACAAATAGACATAAAATTTATTTTAGCAAATTGTTTTCATGCAAAAGGAGGTTCTAAAATTATTTTAAGTGCTTAAAAGTTTGTTGTAGGTGTGCATTATTTGGACCTTGTCTAAACCATTAATATGCTAAACAAATCCTTTCTGCAGATATTGTCAATATAGTTATAAACTCCAAATTAATGAGGCAAGTTAAAATAGCCTGACTTTAATTACACATAATACCTGATTGCATTTTCAATTCTGAGGTTTTATCAAGAATGTCCTGAGGCCCTATATAAGTTTCAAATTGTTATCTGAAATCATTTCATTTTAGAAGCCCAGTATGTACAAAATGAAGTTTGTAGAGCTATTGTTTATTATAATTTAACAAATATCTGGCTGGGTGTGGTGGCTCATGCCTGTAATACCAGTGTTTAGAGAGGCTGAGGTGGGAGGATCACTTGAGGCCAGGAGTTTGAGAGTAGTCTGTGCAGCATAGTGACACTCTCTAAAAAAAAAGGTTTCTTTAATTAGCCAGGCACAGTGGCATGTACCTGTAGTCCTAGCTACTTGGGAGGCTGAGGCAGAAAGATCACCTGAGCGTAGGAGTTCAAGGTTACAGTGAGCTATGATTGTGGCCCGCATTCCAGCCTAAGCAGAAGAGCTACGCTGTCTCTTAAAAAAATATATATGTGTGTGTGTGTGTGTGTGTGTGTGTGTGTGTGTGTGTGTGTATGTGTATCCAGGATATATATATATATATATGCACACACACACACACACATATCCAGGATATATATACATATATGTATCCTGGATACACACTCGCTTCAAGGGATTGAATACAATGTTTTGGAATATATATATATGTATAAATACATGTTTTGGAAAACATGTATATACACACATGTTTTGGAAAACCTGTATATACACACGTTTTAGAAAACCTGTATATACACACGTTTTGGAAAACCTGTATATACACACGTTTTGGAAAACCTGTATATACACACGTTTTGGAAAACCTGTATATACACACGTTTTGGAAAACCTGTATATACACACGTTTTGGAAAACCTGTATATACACACGTTTTGGAAAACCTGTATATACACACGTTTTGGAAAAGTCCTAAGGTAGATTCCTTAGCTTTAACGTTTTACATAAGCTTTAGTAAAAGATAAGGCTTTGATATCATTATTTCAACTTCCACTGGCTGAAGCAGCTTCCAAGGGATTCAAAAGAATTGCACATATTTTTTTTGGCTATTCAAAACAGCTGCATAGATGAGGGGATTTAGGAAGCCACCATGCATAGCCAGGGTGAAATGCAGACTCAGAAAAGACCTCACAAGATCTTAAGATTTCAATTTGGGATGATCCCTGGCACAGACACACCCTACAACAGTTAGAAAACCCACAGGAAATGCTAGGGAAGGGAAAGAACTGGATTTCCAAAGTTACCACATTCTAAGATTCAAATGTCCAGGTTTCAACAACAATGGAAAAATAAGACATAGAAAGGAAAAGGAAAGTACAGAGCATTCAAAGGAACAAAATAAAATGACATAAAACATACCTGAGGAAGCCTAAACTTTGGACTTACCAGATAAATAACTATCTTTAAGGTAATCAAAGATCTAGGGTAAGTCATGGACAAAGACAGGAAAACAATGTATGAACAAAATGAGAATAACAACAAAAAGAGAAATTTTAAAAAAGAAACCAAAAGAAATTCTGGAGCTGGAAAGTATAATAAGTAAAATGGAAAATACAATAGAGGGGGCTCAAAAGCAAATTTAAGCAAGCAGAAGAATTAGTAAATTTGAAGGTCAAATTACTGAGTTTGAGAAACAGAAAGAAGAATGAATGAAAATGAATGAAAAAAAGTGAACAGCGCCTAAGGAACTCAAGGGACACCATCAAGCAGACCAACATAATCTGCAGGAGTCACAGAAGAAGCAGAGAGAAGAAGGGGCCAGAAAGTGTATTTGAAGAAGTAATGGTTGATAACTTCCCAAATTTGATGAAAAACATGACTCTACAAATCCAAGAAGCTCACCAAACAAGTAAGATAAACTCAAAGAGAACTATCCTGAGACATATTCAAATTGTCAAAAGCCAAAGGTAAAGATGGAATCTTAAAAGCAGCAAAACAGTAACAATTCATCACATATAAGGGATCTTCAATATGATTATCAGCCATTTTCTCATATGATATCTTGGAGGTAAGAAGGCCCAGTGGCTGATATATTCAAAGTGCTAAAACAAAAACAATGTTAACCAAGAATTCTATATTTAGCAAAACTGTCCCATGAAACAAGGCAGAAAATAAGACATTCCCAGATAAGCTAAGAAAGTTCATTACCACTATACCTCTCCTACAAGAAACACCAAAGTGAGTCTTTCAGCTTGAAATTTTAAAAATGTAGCATAGTTGACCCTTAACATGGAGGGTTAGGGGTGCCAAACCCCTGCACTGTAAAAAAATTACATATAATGTTTGACTCACCAAAAACTTAACTACTAATTCCGACTGTTGACTGCAAGCCTTGCTGATACCAAGAATTGTTGATTAACACATATTTTGTATATGTGTACCATATACTGTATTCTTACAATGAAGAAAGCTACGGGAAAAAGTTTCATTAGGAAAATCATAAGAAACATATATTTGCTATTAATTAAGTGGAAGTGGATCATCATAAAGGTCTTCATCCTTGTCTTCACATTGACTAGGCTTGAGAGAACAAGAAAGGGGAGGGGTCGGTCTTGATGTCTCAGGAGTGGCAGAAGTGGAAGAAAATCCATGTATAAGTGAACCTGCACAGTTCAAACCCATGTTGTTCAAGGGTTAACTGTGTATCTATATTTCTAAATGAATATATATGGATATAGGAAGATACGTGTGTGTATCTATGTATGTGAACGTGTGCGTATGTGTATATAATTTTAAATGTTTGTATAACCAAATAAAAAAATATATTATGCATAGGCATTTTCCCCTAAGAGGTTGTTTATCCAAGTTGACCCTACACCCAATTTGTTTTGTTTGTTTTGTTTCTGGGACACAGTCTTGCTGTATCATCCAGGCTGGAGTGCACTGGTGTGGATCACAGCTCACTGCAGACTTAACATTCTGGGCTCACTCAGGTGATGCTCCTGCCTCAGCCTGTAAAGTAGCTGGGAACACAGGCACACGCCACCATGGCTGGCTAATTTCTAAAATGTTTTGCAGAGATGGGGTTCTGCCATGTTGGCTGGGCTGGTTGTGAACTCCTGGGCTCAAGCGATCCACCCTCCTCGGCCTCCCAAAATGCAGGGATTACAGGCGTAGCCACCACATCTGGCTGCTTACACCTAGTATTTTAATGAATCTTCTTATTAGGTGGACGGGGGGAATCAAATCATCATCAAATATTCCAAGCCACTTTATACATAGGCATATATGGTACATTTTAACTCTTCAACACTTAGCTCAAGAATCACCCTCTGTGTGCTATGTTCTTGGAAAGCTGCCTCTTGCCTCAGCCTAATTCAGAATCCTTTTTCTGTATGTTCTCATAACTACTGTCACAAGCCTTGGTTTTGAGTTATCTTACATAGAGCTGTAATCACTAGTTAACTTATCAGTCTCTTCTTCTAGACTGCCGCTGTCCAATATGGTAGACACTAGTGGCTTTTTTATTTAAATTTAAATTAATCAAAATTAAATTAAATTAATAATTTAGTTCCTCAGTTATACTAGCCAAATTTCAAGTGCTCAAAATCTACATGTGGCTGTTGGCTATCATGTGGGACATTGCAGATATAGAACATTCCCATAAGCAGATAAAATTCTATTCACTAAAACTACTCTAGATCAGGATTTCCCAACCTAGGCACTACTGACATTTTGTGACAAATAATTCTTTGTTGTGGAGTCTGTCTTATGCATTTTAAGATGCTTAGCAACTTCTACCCACTAGGTATCAAGACCATTCCCCCAGTAGCGACAACCAAAATGTCTCCACACATTGCCCTGGATTGAGAACCACTGTTCTAGACTCTAAACATCTTAAGGAGAGGGAGTATGTGTATTCAGCTTTGTATTACATATAACCAACCACAGAGGATATAGTACAGGGGTTCAATGTATGTTAAGAAATAAAGACAAGAAGATGAGACAGAAGCAAGCCCTAAGCAGTGAGTGGTTTTCCACTCTAACAAAGGTACAACACTTCTCTAGTTTTTTTAAGCCAACAATAACTACAGCAATAAATGATGTAGTTGCTTTTGCCTAGAATGTAAGCGAATGATAAACTATATCTGGCACCTGTTCAGAAATCTATGTGATAGTTATTATCAACAAGATATTAAATTATCTGAAATTTATATAAAATTGAATCCTCCACACTATACACTATAGTATACACACTATACTATAAGGCATTTCAGGGATAAGAAATATATATAACTCTTAGAACCTCTTCGAGAATATGCCTGTTTTGTAGACCGATATGTGAAAATGTACCCAAACACTTCAGAAAATGTAGTCCTTCCATTCATGTCTAGGAAACTATTTGCCCAAAGCATTATAATTTTTAAATGGTTCTTCAAAAGTAATGCACATAAACATGATTATCTTGTTTGCTATATTTGGCCAATGCAGATACAGGTTCAATATTCCCAAATCAGAATGATCCAGCAGAGTTATTCTGGTAAGGCCATTTGTAAATTGTTTCCTGATTGGCTACAAAGGCATTACTGCCATTATAGGATTAAAGTAAGTCAATGGCTTTCTTCCCTCTAAATCATTCCGCTGGTTACACTGGCCTCCTGGACGTTAGGTCAAAGCCCTCCCATCCTGAAACTAAAGGAGAATTCAGTGGCTGTGTCCCATCTGCCATGTGTGACAAGTGATATAAGCAAGAATGCCTGTACTCTGGATCTGCCACTTACCAATGTGCCATTTCTCAGTTTCTTTAGTAAAACGAGGAGTCCAGATAATCATTCCTTAAGGGAAGCGTGAAGGGAAAATCTCTATGAACTGCAAAACACTAAACAGATGCCAATTTTAAGTATTTTAGGTAAGGTTATAAAGTTTTTAGCAAAGGGACTAAAGAAGAGCACTCATCAATGAGAATTACAATCCCAGAGGCAGTTAGGGAAACATGACTTAGTAAAATAAAAATAAACACTGTAGGATGCCATGTCACTCAGGCGATAGAAGAAAGTTTTTTATTCCAGCTTTCTGAGGATTCATCCGAACACACATATTCCTAACCTTTTTAGGTTTTTTATAAAATCTTGAAAATTCTTTAAGCACCTGTAGGGATTATTTATCTGAAGGAGCTGAAGCCTGCTTCTAGAGGTATTTGCCAGAGCAAGCTAGCATATTGAAAAATTAGATGTTCAATCCCTGGTAGCCTAGTTCCAGCCCACAGTCACCATCTCTCACCAGGTCTCTACACAGCCAATGCACAAAGGCCAAAGAGGAGTTTCAGCCACTTTTACCCTCCCCATAAGAATTTTTGTAAATACATAATTCCAAGGAAATTTCTGTCTGGTCACAGTTGGTTTGTTTTTAGAACAAAAAACCATAAGGTGGTTGATAACGTCTTCAGAAATTTAATAAATATATAAAAACTACCATCTTACGTGGTTTGATTAGCACTAAGTGAAGGTAGGGTACAGAATTAAAATCTCTTTAGAACAGTGGCTCATGTCTATAATCCTAGCACTCTGGGAGGCCAAGGTGGGAGGATCACTTGAGCAACTTGCTATATTGCCCAGGCTGGTCTCGAAGTTGTTCAGGAGTTTGAGACCAGCCTGGGCAATATAACAAGACCCCATCTCTACAAAAAATAAGAAAATTAGCCAGGTGTGGTGTCATGTGCCTGTAGTCCCAGCTACTAGGGAGGCTGAGTCTGGAAGCTCCTCGAACCCACCAGGAGTTTGAGGTTGCAGTGAGTTATGATTGAGCCACTGCACTCTAGCCTGGGGGACGGAGTGAGACTCTCTATACCCCTACAAAAAAAACAATCCAAAACTCCTTAGAGATTAATTTTTATTTGTAGCATTTGACTCTGTGACTGGAGTGATGGCTTTTATTTTTTTTATGTGTGTTGGAGAGCATGTAAATGCACTGACAGCCAGTCACAGCATGATCACCTACTTTTGTGCCCATTACACAAGCAGTAACTTGGCTGTTCCGGACTCACTGGATGTTCAGGATGAAGAAGTGGAGAAGTGGAAAAGGACAGGTAAAGGTAAGCCAGAGCCAAAGACTCCTTGGTCTTAAAAATAGTCCACCACATGCATTGTTAGCTTGACTGCAAAGCTCTTTTCAGTGAGAAAAGAATGAACAAAGTGAGGCCGACACATTTCAGAAAGCATATCTGCAAACTGCCTATAAGGCAAAAGCGAACTTTTCATTTTCTGTCTCGTAAGTTCTGTCTTTGCCTGCCACAGACCTGATGAGCTTCAGCGGAAAAGTCAGCATGAACATGTGAAGCACACGATGAACTTTATCAGGCTGCGTCTCTGTGGCCACTTTCCAGATCACATATTTACCCAGTAAAAACATTCAGGCCACACGAGGAAGGAAGTCTTCGGCTACTGAAGATCATTAGTAGCACTGAGTGCAACCACTGTCAGTTTTGTGGGGTTGGCCTCTGATCACTCACACAAAGGACGGAAAATTGCTGGCGCCGCTGGACCTGTGCCCAGCTCACCCGGCAGTGGAGCGTATGAAAGCCTTTTTTTTTTTTTTTTTTTTTTTAAACTAATGCACTGGAAGGGGGCAAAGGGTGGCATGGACCCTCAGGCACATTAATCAGCAGGGGAATTGGCCAAATGTCGTCTCCCGCTGGGCTTCAATGCCAAAACTACACGTGTCAGTGACTTCCAGAGAAGGGGAGGCCCCAGAACAACACTGGACACATCAAATGTCCTCCCTTCCTTCATATGGAAAGCTCATCTCGGAGGTGTCAGGATAAAACATGAGAACAGCATCTGTCCTCAGAGACCAAGCAGAGTGATTCACTATTTCATGGCACAATGAGGGGAGGAGGACGCTGTAATAAAAACTTTATAAGGTGAAATCTAAATCCTGAATGCAGCACACATTTTTAAAACTTTTTTTTTTTGCCTTTTCTTCCTTTCCCTTCTCCTCCCCTTCCTGAGGGAACATAACACAAGGTAATTAAATTGTAAATTACTTGAGAGAGAAATGTTTAGACTCATGACAAGTCTTTGTGCAGAAAACAAAACTTCACACCCCACACATATTTTGGATGACCTAATTCTTCCAGCGAAGTTTAAAACTATAACCAAGGTTGTTTAAAAAACCATTTTCACATGGAAGGGCAGTGGGTTGAAAGATCCTCATTATTCAAGAGAAGGGAAATTTATGAAGGCAGAAATTAATACCAAACCCAAACTGCTCATTAAACAAACAAAGTAAATTAAGAAGTTGTTGGTTAGGTTTTCTCTATTTCTAGTCAATATCTAAATGAGAAACATGCTCTCCTTAAAATCACAATGCATATATCGCATCAAATCCATAGAACAACTCTAATATTCTTACTCACTCAAAAATGAAGACATGTATATACAAACATAACTGAATCACAAAGTCAGAGCTTAGGTTCTGGTTAAAATTTACAAAAAAATTAAATAGAAATTATTAAGAATTAGCACCTTAAAATCTAGTAGTTAAAGTTCAATCCTGGTAGGTTACGGATTTGCAGGTTAAAATGCTTGGCATGCTTTGAAATTAAAACAGATGATATTAATTTCATCAATTATCAAGAAAATAAAAGCTATTCTATAAGGATTCATTAAATGTCCATTGAAGATTTAAAAATATTTAAATCTAAAAGAGATTCCATTTAAAATGTTCTCAGTGGTGGGGGAAAAATGCTGGGCTATTTTAAGGCACTAATTTCCATCTGGTAGAACAGATCCAGACCTACAATGTTGCATTTCCCTGAGCAATTGCTCTGAGGGCCTGGAGGTTACCAAATGTCAGAGGCACCATGATACATCATCTGTCTGTTGGCTCCAGTTGGGATCCATCTTTTCTTAGCGCTTGACATCTATGGGGAGAGTCGGCAACTCCCTTTCATTAAATAACAAAACACAACAAAATCCTTTATTTACAGTGCTTTTGTAAGATTTGGTTTAAGCATCAGAAGTATGTTAAGCTTTTAACATACTTCTAAGTTAAATGCAAGATTACTCTGTTCTTAAAGAGAATTGAAGGGCAATTTCTTATTAAACAATTTCCTATTAAACTTATTAAACTTATATAAACTATAACTTATTAAACTATACAATAATTCCAGAATAACTCATTTTTAAAGATCAGATATTGCATTCATATGGTTAAAATCTCAAAAATTAATGTGACATTACTCGATTTTCTCCATCCAGGTCCCGGGAACCCTGTTTGTTCCGTCCCCCTTCCTGCAACCAGGCAACCACAGGAACAGTTTTATTACCCCCATCCACCTTTTTATACTACTTTATACACACTATTCTTGTTTTTTCAACTTAATGTCTCTGAGGGCATTTCAGTTTCACGGAGAATGTTCTTGTACTTTCCTACAGATGCAAGCAAATCACATGATAGATTTACCACAGTTTAATTATTTTTTTATTTAGATATTAATTAGTTCTCTACTGATAGAGAGGGAGAGGGAAGGAGGGAGGGAATATAAAGTGAGTGCTAAGTGCTAACACGGGGCAAATAACACGGACGGGAGGGGCACAGAGTCTGTGTTGCGTAAGGGGGGGTCTGTCAGGGAAGTTTTCCTTGAGGACATGACATTGAAACTGGCTGAAGAACACCCTAAGGCAGCCAGAAGAAGAGCACACAGGGACAGATCACTGGGATAGGGTGGAGGTGGCTTATGCTGCTGCAGGTCGGAACTCAGGGCAGCATTCTACATTCTGTGTCTCTAGAAGAGTGGAAGGAGGCGGCTTTGCTCTCCTTTCCCAACTCAGCTCCCACAACATCTCACATGCTGGGAGATCAGCAGCATTCTTTGTAGGGAGTTGTTATAACAAATTTGGTGAATTCTTATTCTGCTTTTACAGAAAATAATGTGAAACAGAGTTTACATAGAAGGAGATATGTCACTATAAAATAATCTTTAAAAATCTAGTAATTTTCACATTTAAATTACTAAATTAGATTTATGTCTTTTTAGGCTTGATAAACCAACTATTTTATAAGTTCTTAGATCTCTTTTGTATTTCTAATTCAAAAAACAAGTGCAGGCAGATGGGCATAAATATCATTTAATTTGTTGATTGTGAGGAACCATGAATAAAACTGCACATAATAAGTGCATTTGGAGTAAAACAATTCTTTAAGATATCAATTTGGTAATAGGGCAAAAAATAACTGTTAAATCAAGGAAAGAAGAGGCCATCAATTTAATGTTCATGGGAGTCATTAGACATTTTTTTCATTTGCTTTTTATTTTATTTTATTTTTTATTTATTTTATTTTATTATTATTTTTTTGAGACGGAGTCTCGCTATGTCGCCCAGGCAGGAGTGCAGTAGCGCTATCTGTAGCGCTCACTGTAAGCTCCGCCTCCCGGGTTCACACCACCGGAGCTGTGACTACAGGTGCCCACCACCACGCCTGGCTAATTTTTTGGATTTTTAGTAGAGACAGGGTTTCACCATGTTAGCCAGGATGGTCTCGATCTCCTGATCTCGTGATCCACCCGCCTCAGCCTCCCAAAGTGCTGGGATTACAGGCCTGAGCCACCGTGCCTGGCCTCGTTTGCTTTATTTTTTAAGTACGTTTTTGATTCACTAGTATCTTGTCATGCCTGATAGTCTCTTTTAAAGTCTCTTTCCTGGTGGTTTTGCTGTGTAAATGAAAGAAAAACTCTGAGACCTGAACTCAAAATTTGAGGTATGAAAGCTAGTAGAGGCCAAATGAAATGCTCACAGATCGGCATATGTATGTTACCACGTCACCATCAACTAAGCAACTGCTACGCTATTTCACTAAACTGAAAAAGGCATTTGTGTTGCCTGTTCTAATTTGTTTATGGTTGGATGTCTATCATAGTATTTTCTATTATGTTGCTAGATAAAGACATTTTTAGAGTTTCACTGAATCTGCAAAGTGCTGGTGCATACTTTATGATAAAATAGCTAATGTCCTTTCATTAGTATAATGACATCTACTAACTACATCAGTTTGCAGAAAAATATTCTTACGAAAATAGTCCATAAAAGGGAGATTGGGTAGAAGCGGCTGATGAACTGGTTACATTAACATGTGTTTCTTCACTGAATTTCGTATGGTTTCCCCTCTTCTTCTTATAAAACTCTATGGACTCTGGCAAACCCTTCATTCTTTTGCAGCCAAGCTCTCATTCAGGATAGAGGACACCTGAATTACATAAATCTCTATCACAAAGTTACAATTTCTGTGCAGAGCAAGAGCTGTCAGGAAAAAGGTAATGAAGAAGAATAGCTTAGACAGAGGGATTTAATGATATCCAGCTGCTATTCTTTGGTACTTGCTGATAAGACTTTGTTTTAAGTTTACAATAGAGAAAGTTTGGGAAAAGGCTAAAAATTCATATACAGGAAGTGGAAGTCTTTATATTTCATTTCAGTTTCCGCTAACTCTTGCAATTACGTTCATACAAAGTTTAATTTTCAGAATGTTCAAATATGTCACTGTAAGTCTTTAAAAATAAAATGTAAATTGCATTAAAATGTGTAGAAATATTGTACCTTAGGGAAAAGACAACCAATTTGGGCTCACCACATGTTCAGATGATAAGATAAACCTGGGAAAGTACAAGATTCTTAAATGTTTATTATAATTGTATGTCATCATTGTGGTGATTTTTCTGTATTTACAAAAGGGCAGGGGTGGGTGGAGGGAAAGTTCTTTGCCAATGGAAGGGACATAGCCGGTTCTTCAAAACATATAGTAAGTTAACATAAAATTACAGAAATGTGGTCTTTGCAGAATGGGAAACCCTAAACAACTTACATTTTACTCAGGATTTAGATTCCATGACAATGTGGCCTTTTTGCTTCCTAATCTGTTACTTGCATACACGATGCTTAATGGCACGACTCAAAGTGTTGGTAAGTGTGGTGTACCCCCGTCCCGAATCCTGAATTTTCTGTGGACAGGAACACATTTTAATAAACGCTTGCCTAGTAAAGGAAGTTACTGGGAAAATTCTCTGTGGGAGCCAAGCAATGAAGACTCTCTCAAGAACTTCGACATCTTATATGTGAATACTGCACTCAATGGACTGACTGCCATAGGGGCCAAAGAGTTAAAGCGAAGGCACGATATTCTTTCAGGCTAATGAAGCCTTCCTGCTGGGAGTTCCTTCCCCAGTGAGTGGGAAAGACGCAGGATGAATGGCTGGGGCTTTGTGCACTTTCCCACAGGTCTGGACAGGATCTCCAGCTCAGCATCTACAGCTCAGGGAGGAAGGAGACCCAGGCCTCACAGGGAGCAGACAGGAGGACTAGGGGGACACTGCTCAGGCCGCCCACAGGCTCCACTGCCCACCAAGTGCTCTGAAAGGCTTGACAAATAAAAGCATTGCTATTTTTTTAAGGGCAAAAGGTGCATGAAGGTCAGTGGTAGGTACCTGTCTGGAGGCATTTTATGCTATTGGTGCAAACCTCCCACGAGTTGAACTTAAAGGAATGTTCCATCCTTGCAGGAAGTCTCCAGATACAGGAAATGCTAATAAAAGAAAAAGGGAGGAGGCTTTGCTCTCCTTTCCCAACTCAGCTCCTACAACATCTCACATTACAAATTTGCAAACTAATTACTTAGAGCCAGACATATTAAAAAATTTCCCTTTACAACTAAGTGAATACAGAAGAGAATCAAAATAGAGCTCTTGGCTCCAGACTTAGATAGGGCTCTGAATTTAAAAGTCTAATTAAGGCAAATCATGTTTGCTATGTAGTTCTCTCAAACACTAGCATTATTGAAATTACTCCTAACAACTTAATTGATATAACCAATACCTCAAGTAAAGATCATGCAGTAATTAGTTCAGCCTGCAGAAGTTGGAGTATCAGGGATGATGAGGTTTTCTATAAAGGCTTTGGCTGTTTTTTTCCACATAAATTTACCTCTGTGAAATTTTGAGTTAGACAATTTTATTTTACACTGACTTGGCAATGCAAATAAAATATCGAAAATAGCTGAACTGTTATTAAATGGGATGATTTCTTGGTTAGTACTGTGATTGGTATGAAGAGCGGAGGAATTCCTCTTTTGTCTCTTTCCCTTGGAGCTCTCTATTGAAAGGAGAAAGGGGAGATGGCAGTATTTTATGAGTCATTCTTTGGAACAGCATTCCAAGTGTGATTTACTTAATATAGCCCTATAAATCACCTAATGCAGAAACAATCTCAAGATCTGCATGTAAACATACCTATTAAAATATTACAATTACTCTGTTTGCTTAGTGCTCATAAGGTATATCTCATCTGAAGGTAAACAGCTTTTTCCCTGAGGTGGGACATCCAAAGGAGCGTCCAAATTACATGCCCATGTAAGGATGCTGAACTTGAGAAAAATATCACATTACCTAAGTACAACGACAAGTGTTTGACTAGGAGAGGGACTATTATACCTTTAGCCGACATTTTTCTGCCTTCAATTTGCTGCTCTGGTTTGAAAATCCAATTCATCTAATTTCATAGTTGGCTACAGCACTGGTTGGTAATTATTAATCACAGAGAAAATTTTCAGCTCAGAAAAAAAAAAAGTGAGCATGTCTACATTTGTTTTAGTGATTTGCTCCGCAACAGCCAGAGGGCATTTATTTTTAAACAAGAAGTGAGCCAGGGGACCCAGATCTATATGCTTGTGGTACTGCTTATTTTTGGCTCATAAGACTTAACTTTCTTTAGTATGGTAATCTGTAACTGTAAGCAATCATCCTCCCGATTAGTACTGGGTTAAAAACTGTAAACCACCTACAATTACTAGCATGATCCCTAACCTCTGTAAGGTGGTAATCCAGTATTGGTTGTTAGCTGTCAAATTTATTTCCCTTTGGTGAAATATACCCTGGATTTAATTAGCAGTCATTCTAGATACTTTATGGAGCTGAGCCCAAGCACTGTGGCTTTGACATTTAACCCCTGACCCTTAAATATTTACCAGCTTTTAAACTGGTTGTGTACAATTATCCCTTCAAGTATATATCAGATCCATCATTCTGACCACTCTAGTCTATTCCAAGTCAGATGTACTATTCCAACTGATGTTGTAATTTTCACCCTGGAAGTGGAAATAAAATCATGGGCTTCACAATGAGCTCTGTCAGGCAAAGCTGAAAGCACTTGTTACTAGATGCTACCCATGGAAGGGGCAGGGTGTGCTGCCAGTCAGGAGTCCCAGTGATGAGTGTGAGGAGCAGGCTGCAGCCGAGGGGACGTGGGTTGCTCTTTGGCTCTGGCCAGCCCTCTGCGCCTTTGTGGGATGCTTTAGAACCAGTTTCGTCTTCGGCTCGCAATCGTGAAAGGAATATTTTGGAAACTGTTTTCATTTGTTTGAAATCAACTTTATTGAGGTATGATTTGGGAAGTGTATTATTTAAATTTCCTTGAGGTTTCCTAGGCAGAAAATGCCTAGATAGAAGCAATGAGAGGCGAGGACTGCATTTTTTCTGCTATGGTGTAAAACTCTCACAGAATGTTACGCACAAAACCAGTGCACTTCAAATGTCACAGTTCTTGAAATGTATTTTAATCCAAAAGATGGGCTAGAAAGGGCCCTCATTAGGCAATACCCACTTTAAAAAGATAAGTGAATGCTATTCTGTTGAGACTTTGCAAGACCTCCCACCTGGAAGGGGCACCCAGGTCTCTAGTTCAGGAGTGGTACCACCCCTCTCACGCTCTGCCTCTCCTCACCCCTTCCAGAACATACATCACGTGCCTGGCACATAGTAGGTTCTCCAAAACTTTTTGAATGAGTGTTAAATAAACCCAGCAGTCATGAAAATGGCTTACAGAGGCAAACATGCCAACCAGAAATGTCAACTAGGCTTGTGCAAGTAAAAAGAAGAATGTTACTGGAAGTGAGAGAGTCCAAGCCAGGAAAACAGGAGCATGTATTGCTGATATCCAGCCCCCACACTATACCCCAGCAGAGAGGAAAGAGGGCAAGAGACGTATTTGCTGCTAGTGGGGAGCCCCTACGCTCAGTCTAAATTAGGGCCAGATGCTCGTTTTTGGCTACTCTAAGAAACCAAAGTGTGGGTCAGCCGCACTTCCAAGTGGAGCACTGAGTGGAGACCGGGCTCTGGTGGCCAGCTAATCCAGAAGCCTGCTTTCTCAAAGGAGCCAAAACTGGCATGTGACTCTGCTAGACTTAAAAAAAGGAAAAATTTGTAGAATAGCCGTAATGTGTGGTCTTGAGGGTAATCTCAACAAACAGCGTTCGGGTTGGTTAAAATGCCTCAGTGGCAGTTTGGAGCTCACCGGATCTGGCAGCCACTAATGACATTGTGAGGGCGACTGTTGCACCATCCAGCTACACTGTACACGTAATGCAAGTTACAAACAAACAGGACAGACGGAAACTTATGAGTCAAATTTTTTTCATGTTTCTGCCAGGTGGACACACTGCATAAACAGAATGTAGGTATCAGAGACTGAACTAGCTAGACATTTTTAATTCTCGGGATTTTTTTAAGCTTTGTTGACTAATGTTTTATAGTGATATAAAAAGATCCTATGTAGTAAAAGAATAAGGGTGGTAAGTCATGGGCATTTACCTTTAAGGAGTGCTAAAGTGCTGGAAGTGCTAAAAATCAAATGAACTCTCTCTCCTAGAATCCCTTGCTCTCAGAACATCCCAAAATATTTCAAGGCGTTCCTTGTTTTCAGTTTGGTCTTAGTTCAGAGGTGAACTTTATGCAGGGAGGAGGTTGGCTTAAGCATATTTTAGTCCTTTGTAAGAAACATGATCCTGGAAAATAGTGTTTCCTCCCAAACTCTCACTGCAAAGTGAAACTTCTATCGAACCTAACAAACTCACAAGCTGATAACCAAATGCTAACGTTTTTGAAATGATTGCTTCCTACTAAAGATCCATGTCACTGCTAATTAGAAATTACCAACTCATTTTTTTCCTCAAATAAGCATAATTGTTTATTTAAAAGATTTCCAAAGATTAGGAAAGGGGACGCTATTAATATCAGAATGGGTAACACAACAAATTAACAATATTTTGCACATATATCCCTATTTTTGCTGTAGTGTCACTGCTATAGAAATTGTCTCTCTGTACAGGTACAGGTAGGTGGTGTTCATGTGTATGTTTGTGATGTAGAGACACAGATAGGAAGGGAGGAAGAACCATGAGGAAGGACGCTGACACAGGTGGTTCCAGTGGCTGGAGGACACGTGACTTGTTCATATCCACCACTTGACTGCTTTCTTCTCACTCACTTCTATCCCACTGGCCAGAACGTCCTGCAATGCCTATTTCCCTAAATGCCACTTCCTCTCCGTTTTTCCCACCATTGTCTTAACCAGGACCTTCCTCATATCTTCTCTGGATGCTCTCACAATTCGGAATGGCATTCAGACTTCTACGTGACACACATGGACTCTTCCCCAGGCTCATCCCCTGTGACTCTAACCATTCTCCATATTCACATACTCACAGTTCCCTCTCAAAGGCTGTGTTCTCTCCCACTTCTGAACTTTCTGTATATGATGTTCCATCAACTTAAAATCTCCACCTCACCTCTTCCTAACTCTATTTATTCTTCAAAACCCAGCACAAAAATCCCCTCCTCCAAAAAGTCTTCTGTAGTGGCTTTGCTGTAGTGGTCGTTACAGTCCCACCTTCTCCTTTCTGAAGGGAACCCCACTGTAGTTTGGGTGTTTGTTCTTGCCCTTATGCATCAGGGAGGCTGCCCACAGCAGTAGCCTAAGGAAAGGCAATCCCAACTCCTCTGACTGGCAAATAGCCTGGGTCTGGATATATGACCCAACTCTAGCTAGGGAGATGGGAGAGGAGGCCTGCTGAGGACTTCAGGAAAGGCCAGGGAAGTCACTCTGTTTCTCCAAATGGAGAAGAATGTGACTCCAACTGCTGCTGGCAGCCGACTTACAGCCACAGCAGGGACCAGTCTGGGGATGATGTCAATACTGTGGACAGCAAAGAGAAGCCTGGGTCCTAGATGACTCTGTATTAGCCAACTGCAAATCCCAGCCTACCTCCAAATGTCGGATTACAGGAGACAATACATTTTTTAAGGTTAAAGCCAATTTGATTCAAATTTTCTGTTACTTGAAGCTAAAAATATCCTATTTTGAGGGGTGGGGATAGGGGATAAACTGCCTAGTATTTCTTGCTTTCAAAGGTTGCAATGAGGTACAGAGGCTCACATTGTATATTTTAAATAAGAAAATTTCAGCCAGGAGCCGTGGCTCACACCTGTAATCCCAGCACTTTGGGATGCCAAGGCAGGTGGATTGCTTGAGCTCAGGCATTCGAGACCAGCCTGGGCAACATGGTGAAACCACATTGCTACCAAAAATTAGCTGGACATGGTGGTGCACACCTGTAGTCCCGGCTACTTAGGAGGCTGAGGTGGGAGGGTCAGTGAGCCCAGGAGGCGGAGGTTGCAGTGAGTGAGCTGAAATCGTGTCACTGCTCTCCAGCCTGAGCAACAGAGTAAGACCCTGCATCAAATAAAATAAAATAAAATAAAATAAAATAAAATAAAATAAAGAGAATTTCTACCTGGATTCTGCCTGGTTGGTACAGAACAGACAGTACAGATTATGAGGGTTATGAGCCGCTGACCAGTGAGCCAACATCACTGTCCATACCCAAGGGGATGGCCCTCAGATTGGCAGTAGGTGCTGGTCTCAAGCAGGCAGGCCCACTCATGCACAAAGCAGGCCATGGCCATGTGGATCAAAAGGAAATGTCTGTCAACTTCTCTGGGTCTCTGGACTCCTATGTTAGAAAAGAAGCTACATCAATGTACAGTATAAGGTGTGAGAACAACAAAATAAAAAAGACCAGAGCCCTATAGGGTCTCTCTTAAATGTAAGGAGCAGGCCAGGAATGGTGGCTCACGCCTGTAATCCCAGCACTTTGGGAGGCCAAAGTAGGTAGATCACTCAAGCTCATGAGTTTGAGACCAGCCTGGGCAACATGGCGAAACCTTATCTCTACTGAAAATACAAAAATTAGCTGGGTGTGGTGGCACGCACCTGTAGTCCCAGTTACCCAGGAGGCTGAGGCACGAGAATCACTTGAACCCATGAGGTGGAGGTTGCGCTGAGCAGAGATCGTGCCACTGCAACTCCAGCCTGGATGACAGAGTGAGACCCTGCCTCAAATAAATAAATAAATGCATGCATGCGTGGAGTATGTTGGTTAAAGCCAACCTTTGCTGAGAACAGGGTAGCCTCTGATGCTGCCATGCTCCATCCCACCAGGCCCCTCCAAAAGAAGAAAGGGGAGAACTGAGGCCATAGCGTCTGCATGATCTGTCAGAAATGCAGGAGAGCTGTGGTGTCGGCTTGTCGGCAAGAGACTTCAACTCGCCCTCAGCATCTCTCTTCTCACCTTGTTCACAGGGTGCGCTTTCAATGTGAGGATATAAGTAATCACAATAGCAACAACTACTACTTACGGAATATCTATCATGTGCTGGCACTGTGTTAGGAGCTTTAGATATACTGACAGATCGAATTCCCATGATAATCCCATTCACTAGGGCTTATTATCCCCAAAGTCCACAATTGGTTGAATAGCAGAGCTGGGGTTTATATGCAAGTTTGTCTCTAAACCCTGTATTTTTCCTAGTGTGGTATATTACCTAAATAAAATGAAGCTTAAAAAAATCTAAAGTAGAATGAATTTTTCTCAAAGAAAAGACTAGGATGAAAACTTACTGACTACTGAGTGGATTGTATGTACTTGGATTGTACATTTAATGTTGTGATTTGGTCTTTAAAAATAGTATTACAGCAAACCTACCTCAAACAGTTTTTACCTATGTCAGGATTAAACTTAAAATTCTTGGCATACCATACTTTTTGCATTCAGCTTGAATTTTCAGACTTAATGCTTGGCATATTTATTACAGTTAGCTTGAGTTTTCCTAAAATCAATTATAAATAGCCTTCATTATCTGAGAAAATATTTCAAAACTTTGTAACAAGAAACATTAACAACCTACACCTTTTTTCCTGGATCTGAGAAAAAAAAACCTGATTTTAGCAGTGTCTTCTCTTGTGTTTAAAATATTTGGGTCTGCAATCATGACAAAGAAAATGGAAGTTCAAGCTGCACCTATCTAGCAACTTTCAGTGACATTAACAGATGAAAGTGCATCTCGAAATGACTTTTGGCTCAAGAACAAATATATACTTTTATAAATAGGTTAGCTTCTTTCTCAGACAACTTCATTTAACTAGAAGAAATTAACGACAGAGAGTTACAACTGTAACCTGAGGGTAACACTTCTTTATAAGAATGGATAATAACTAAATGAGTGGCCCTATTCAGGAAGGAAAATTTGGCCTCAGAAGAAATCCTTAGGTTTTACTGTACCAGTCTGTAAGTGCTGCTAAAGCTCAGTGCATTTAGATCATGTACTCTTAATATTTTTCTCATGTTCAAACTGATGATGAAATGTGACTCTGGTTACAGGAGGAAAGTAGAAACATCTGAAATAATGGCAAGACAAATTGTTTTCATATCACACAGCATTTTACATCTGAGATTGAGGCAATTTGTCAATGTCATCATCTGACTCTCTAATGATTCCTCTATTGTACATTAAAAGTAAAATAAGTGACTTATATAAGGTCACAGACTGAGTTAATGGCAGAAAGTGTAATGGGTTTCACGGTCATAGTTTATTATCCCATATTCAACATTGTACTTATGCTTTTAGAGGAAGAAAAGGATACCCAGATTCTCTTTGTACCATTTATCAGTGATGAGCATATATATATAAAACATAGATCTTGTAGAAAATGCACATTGAAGATTATAGTAGAATAACTATCTGGTCCAGTTTTATTAGCCAACCACTTCACGGCTTATAAACATTAAATGAATATCTAGCATATGTTGAGACATTCTCAGGTGGCTCTCTACTACTTTAAATTCTTCACAGGGTACCCTTCCTCTGAATGCTGTAAGTCAGCGGTCCCCATCCTTTTTGGCACCAGGGACTGGTTTTGTGGAAGACAATTTTTCCACGGACTGGGGGTGTGGGGCGATGGTTTTGGGATGAAACTGTTCCACCTCAGATCATCAGGCATTAGATTTTCATAAGGAGCGCATAACCTAGCTCTCTTGCATGCACAGTACACAATAGAGGCTGTGCTATGAGAATCTAATGCTACCACTGATCTGACAGGAGGTGGCACTCAGGAGGTAAGGCTTTTCCACCACTCACCTCCTGCTGTGCGGCCTGGTTCCTAACAGGCCATGGACCAGTACTGGTCTGTGGCTCAGGGGGTTGGGGACCCCTGCTGTTAAGTCCTCATAGCAATATTCAGGCATGAGGACATAGTGGAGTAGCATTGAATCCTTGGCCTGAAGCATATGATCCCTGGGATACCAGGTGTCCTGTGGTCTTTTTGATAATATTAGATGGGGAGTCAAGGTCCAGGGCCAGACACCATGTTTCTTTTTTTTTTTTTTTTTTTTCCTCCTTGAGACAAGGTCTCTTTGCTCTGTGACCCAGGCTGGAGTGCAGTGCCACAATCACAGCTCAATGCAGCCTCAACCTCCCAGGCTCAAGTGATCCTCCCACCACAGCCTCCCAAGTAGTGGGGGCTATAGGTGTGTGCCGCCATGTCCAGCTAAATTTTGTATTTTTCGTAGAGACAGGGTTTTGCCATGTTGCCCAGGCTGGTCTTGAACTCCTGGGCTCAAGTGATCCACTTGCCTTGGCCTCCCAAAGTGTTGGGATTACAGGTGTGAGCCACTGTGTCCAGCCAGACACCATGATTCTAATGCCCTTTTTCTCTCTAAAATTCTCAATATCAATAAAAGGAAACAAAACTACTACAATATTGGGTTAGAGTGAACCATAGTTTATAAAAAACAATGAATAAGTTTCTCTCCATTGATAGGAAAGATGGGAAAACTCTAAGAGGCTGGCAGGGACAGGGAAACGATATGGAAGCCATGGGAACATGGAAAGAGAAGCTATGCTCTACATTCTTTCCAATCCTAGATTGTGAACCTCTGTTTCCCCCAATGAAGGTGAAAATTGCAAACCGTACTCTGAAAGACAAGGGCTAGGCAAAGCAACGTACTGAGGGGAACACTCAGTGACAGTGAGAGATGTGGCCAGAAGACTGTGTGTACCGGAAAGCAAAGCCTCAGGGCAGCATTTGAGCAGGTATTTTACAAACACTTAGAACATTTATGTACAGCTCATATCTTTTAGGATGTATCAAATATATCACTGTGGACTCTACTAAACCAAGGAGGCAAAAACTCCAGCAAAACAATGACAAGTATGAAGCTGGAGAAGACTCCTGATAATGACTAAGGTGCAGGGGGAGAAACAGCAGATGAAATCATGCTTGACCTTTCAGATGTATTGAAATAGAATTATGATGTACCTTTTACTGGGGAGAGGGTAAATATTTCCCCCACCCCCTTTTTAAAATAAAAGACGGTCTTGCTCTGCCACCTAGGCTGGTGTGCAGTGGTGCAATCATAGCTCACTGCAGTCTACCACTCCTGGGCTCAAGTATCCTCCTGCCTAAACCTCCCTAGTAGCTGGGACTACAGGTACAAGCCACCACGCCTGGCTAATTTTCTTATATTTTGTAGAGACAGGGTCTTCCTGTGTTGCTCAAGCTGGTCTGAAACTCCTGGGCTCAAGTGATCCTCTTGCCTTGGCCTCCTGAAGATTACAGGTATGAGCCACGGCACCTGCCCTAGGGTAAATATTCTTTAAGAAATCTAGAAGATGGTGAGAAAAATCATGGGGGAACAACAATGAAATAGTCATTCATGGCAATTTTCAGAAGATCCAAGTAACAGAAGCCTATTCAGTCTGTCTTGGAGCGGTTTTAAATACCATCACCTCAGTGGACATTCATCTCTAATTCCATTCCCTAAGTTCCCTTGCACATGTCCCATGCTTACTAATCTCTCCACACCAATACCAACCAACACTTCAATCTCAGTGTGTCCAATACAGAACTCAGCTACTTTCTGCAGAATGTGTCAACCTATGTTTCATAGATAGAAATATTAATATTAGTAATCCGAATGTACCACATGCCCCTATTAGGAAGGTTTACAACCTTGGAGTCATTCTTAATTCATTTTTCACTTTGCCCCAATACTAATCAGTTGGTAAGTTCTACACAGTGTCTACCCAGGCAACATCTCTGTCAACCAGGCTGATATTTTGGTTTGTGCGGTCTGGGTGTTCGAGTACACTGAAATAGACTTGGTGAGGGTGTACTGTCTAACGGGAAGATCAGCACTTTAGGAGAAGGAAAGAGTGAGACGAGATATATGAAAGAGAAGTATAAGACACCCTGGGAGTGTACGGCCAAGGCATTAAGCCAAACCATGGGTGCTGGAGAAGCCTCTCCAAGGAAGTGACATCGAAATGAGACTTGAAGGATGTGAGGTAGAAGGCAGGCACTGCTGTTAGTTTGTCTCCAAAAATCTACCACAAATCATCTCAATTTCCAATCTTCATAGATCCACACCGGCTACAGAGTGAAGCATGGACTTCTCACCTTTGCATGTAAAATCTCCAAGACCAGGTCCCAACGTACCGCCCCATTTCATCATCTACCGCTTGTAGAGTCACAGTGCTCCGTTATGTAGCCTCTGCTCATGGCCCTGTTTCCAACCTCTGTGCCTCTGCTCATCTGTTCCCACCACCCAGAATCCCAGGTGATTAAACGCCACTTATCCTTCATGCTCAGCTCAGTTGGCAACTTCTCCACAAAATCTCTATGGATTCCTGGCCTCCCATCACACCCTGGCTCCTACTGCCTTTAAAGCAAAAAGCACTTTATCCTTATTCTGAAAACTCTCGTCACCTCTCTTGACATTGACTACTCTCTGTCTTGGGTACCTTATACAATTTGATTTAACAAAGTTTTTTGGTTTTCTTGTTTTGTTTTGTTTCTAAGTGACAACCATGTGCCCAGCAGAATGCTGTAAGCTAATGTTTGAGTAAAAGATGGTGAATTCCAACTTGGTTGCTCTGTGCTTGAAAGAGCTTTTGAAGATAGTGGGGTGGGAACGTCCAGAGGGCAGGACTGCATAGGGCTGGACTTCATGGAGTGGTCTGGGCTGAAGACAAGAATTTGTAAGTAATGATGGTGCACATGGCTGTTGAGGGTCCCATGAGTGTAGGCATCACCTAGGAGGGTGTGTGAAGTATAGTGAAGTGGGCTGATAGGGAGGGATGGGTGAGCATACACTGTCTCTTCTACTAGCACAGTTTTTCAGCAGTGGCATCACTGACGTTTTGGGCCAGATAGTTCTTTGTTGTGGGGGCTTTCCTGTGACTGCAGGATGTGTAGCAGCATACCTGGCCTCAACCACTAGATGACAGTGGCAACTACCTCCCTGTTCCCCATCCCTCAGTTATAACAATCAAACCTGTCTCCAGACATTGCTAAAACTCCCCTGGGGGACAAAATTGCCACCATTTGAGCACTGCTGGCCTAGACCTGTAAGTATAGGTTCTAAGCAAGTTTCTTTCTTCCTGTGATTTAGTCACTTGTTGATTAAATTAATTGTTAAACAAATGCTTGATACACTTCTATTATGTATAAGGCACACTGGAGGCCAATGCTAGATGCTTAATAAACATTTAGTAAATAAATTAAAAAATGCTACATTTCAGGAAAACATCTGGTAATATAAACCTAGGGATTCATAAAAGAATATGACCACCATACGCATGCTGATCAAACTGTTTCATCTTCATGCACCTACAGGCCACACGTGCTCATGAATGAACACAGGGGAGTAGGAATGTAGTGACTTCATGTACATGATGCTCTTTCTTAAAGGAGGTGACAAAGGGTAAAAAAGCAAACAGCACTGTTATTTCTTTTTACTCTCCAGACCCAGGAAAGTTTGCTGACTTGCTAATAAACGCAAAAATGTGAAGGCTTTTTATTTGGGAATAACCTGTGAATACCCAGTAAATGTACTTAAGTTATGTGGAATAAAATAATTTTAGCATTGCAAAAATAAATCCTAGAATTACTGTTGTTGTAGCTTTTCCCTGAATTTGACTTTCCAAAATGTTTATTATAAGCTCTTTATTCTAAAGAGTCTACTATAAGAATTACCCTATTATGTCTAGAGACTCGACAGAACAGACCGAAGCTCTTTGCCATATTATATAAAACAGCAACACCATCAATATTATGGTGACACAGTTTTGCAATCCCTTCTATCTAACAAAGAACTTTTCAAAACCCTTTCGTGGAGCTAGAATTGCTCAGAAAAAAAGTGGGTGTTTTTTGCAAAATAGGAAGTTCGTTTTTCAAAATAAGGAAGCTAGGTCTTAAAGAGCTTTTTACACCTGAAGACATTCACTGCACATAAAATACTATTTGTTTCCCCATAAATGATCATCATGTGTTCCAACGTAAAATATCAGAGACACCTTATTTTTCCCAGTGCCTTTTCTTCCTAATCCTCCTCATGCAATCTCATGGGTCTTCTGCTAACTGCCTCCAAATAAAGGCATAAACTGCAGCAAACAGATGGCCAAACTCCTGAACACTTTCTTCCTTGTGCCAAGCTGCTATCGGATGTAAATACATTCCTAGACTGTGTTAAAAGCAGGATCTTTCTGGTTTCGCTTCAGTGTCTATTACCCAGGTTCTGCTCATTAGAAACTCATTATTATGGACCTAAGTGTCAAGATACATGTTGTAGTGAGGCGCTTCTACACATGCACAGTAAAACTTTTATCTAGGCCACTAAATACTGCTTCTTATCTGTCAGTTTTCAGTTAATTTACAATGCTAACTTATTTATCAGAACTGGAAATGGGCCAGGCCTTCAGTGTATTTGATGAGCCTTACAATAACCCTGAATGCACCTGTTAATTTTGCCTTTGGGTAAACAGTTGAAAACTCCTCAGCTATTTCCTCAAATTGGGTGGAAACAAAGAAACATGAGATTAAAAAAAAGTCTAGATTAGGGAATTGGAGATGCATTAATTTAAAAAGGGAACAGGGTCAAACGAGGGCTAGGAGGCTAATAAGCACAGAGCACACAGCAAAAAAGCTCCCAGCAGGGTAAGAGTTCACTCAATTTATCCGGCGATCTATTCCAGACGCAGTCAATGATACGTTATTGGATCCAGACCTGCAACTGCTTCCTAAGACCAACCTCACTTAAGTGTCATTGCCCTCCCTTTTAGAAATATTGCTATTACCCAAACCTGTTCGCAGGGCAGCTCACTCAGCTGGCAGCCCACTGACTTGTGTTCTTTATGATGCTCCCTCTAACTCCCGTCTCTGCTGTGGGAATTAGGTATAACCACCACCATGCAAACCGCAGAACACCCAAGTTGATCCTACTCTACGAGACTTTTAGTACTTTATTACACAGAAAGCCAATCCCTGGGATAACAGACTATAAACAACAGCAAATGCTCTATCAGGCAGGCTGTACGAGGTTAAGGACTTTGAGAGATTTACTGGAGAGGTTGTGGACGGGAATGTTCCATCCATCAAATGCGCTTTCTTACACATTAGATAAAAGAAGAAGAAGAATGGAACGTAGGACATTTTGGCTAAGACATTTAGAAAACTTGTATGTTTGTCCCAAACAACGAGGGGAAAGGCCGAGTGATTAGCTATGTAATTAAGGCTGCCTTCTAACCTTTTAATTATTATTAATGTGGAAAGTTGTGAGACTGAGAAAACGTGTATTTTATTGCAACAGGAAATAAGTTTTAGGTATTTGCTGATATCATTTCAACATTAAAATATTTAAATTCATTTGGCAAACAATATAATATTATATTAAAGGGGCTTATTGGAAATAACATACTTTATTAAAGTTAGGACCTTCGGGGCAGGGATTTGTTTCTTTCCTGTGCTATCTAATTGTTTGAAAACACACATACTGTATAGCAGACCCCATACTGGACAGCAGAACGAGGCATTTAATACATTTAATAAGGGGACTGTGTTTGCGGGGCTATAAATGTGGGCCAGCTAATGAGGAAGTGATCACCAGTATTCCAGTATTGGGGAGCTTTCCCTCACTCTGGATTTTACCACTGAACACTATATTTTTTAAAAATAATAATTTTAAAAGAAAAAAAAGAAAAGCTGGAGTTCAGAATTGCCCACAGAACATGAAATGCTTTTAATGGCAGTCTGAGGTGACTGTGTTTCTTGTTCACAACAAGCACCTTTGATTTGTGGAGATGAACACTTTCCAAACGACAGGCTCCACCCACAGCAGACATCCGGAGCAGGCACACACGTGTGTGTCTTGTCACCACCTGGGCAGCTTCTGTGACCATGGGTACTAACGTCTCAGCACCCTATCACTGGCAGGGAGAGGCAGGAGGAGAGGCTCCCACACGGAATCACAAGGGTCCCTGAAGGGAGCGAGAAAGAGATGCAGAACGTGTTTCTGGACAGTGCCATCTACTTTGTTCTGGGCCATAGCGGAGGCTCTGAAATAAGTCTTTTCCACAGTGGTCACTCCAACCACCGCAGTTTTGCTGGCAACTCAAATTCAAAGCCATGTGTTGGTGCAGTAGCAGCAGATGAAAACTCAGCGGGGCATTACGCAGTTCCCTCAAAGCCACAGGCCTCAAGAGCTCGCAAAATGCCCTTTAAATGAAGGAATGGTTACCAATATGTAGTATGCATGCCAAGAACTTAAAATCAAACAATAAATTTACAGTATGTCCTTTTGTTCAAAATCTTTCAAGGATATTTTCTGTAATAAAAGCTTTTTGCTTAACGAGTAAACTCAAAAATGGCAGTTGAGGTGCATATGAAAAAAACTTCAGTAGCCTTTCCATTGTAGGCACAGTGATACATTTTCTGTCCTGTGCCTGAGAGCAAACGAGTTTAACAGGGCTTTTTCACTATTTCTTTTATTTTCCACAAGCTTCCCCTCCACTAAAAAGGTGCGTTTCTTTATAATACTTGCTTTGAAAATTTAGCATTATGTTTTTCTTAGTGTCTTTTTTTTTCTCTTAATTTTGTTACTAACTATCCTGAACTATTTTTTCTGTCCCTGGCAATGGTGGAAGGACGGTGGGACGTGGGATCCGATTTTTTTTTTTCCCGAGATGGAGTTTCGCTCGTTGCCCAGGCTAGAGTGCAATGGTGTGATCTCGGCGCGATGCAACCTCTGCCTTCCGGGTTCAAGCGATTTTCCTGCCTCAGCCTCCTGAGTAGCTGGGATTTCAGGCATGCGCCACCACGCCCGGCTAATTTTGTATTTTTAGTGGAGATGGTGTGCCTGTTTGTTGGTCAGGCTGGTCTCGAACTCCCGACCTCAGGTGATCCGCCTCAGCCTCCCAAAGTGCTGGGATTACAGGCTTGAGCCACCGCGCCTGCCTGGGATCCGCTTTAAAGTCTGCGCACATCTTGGAGAATGTTCTCATTTCTGTCCTTGTTGAGAGAAAGGGGAAAGGGGAAATGCAGGCAGGACTTGCTAGGAGAATTTTTTCCCCTTTCCTACTCACTAAGGGCATACAAGAAACTCTGAAAAGTATCTGAGACATGAAATACTGCCAACACAAGACACAAAACACTGCCTTTTTGGAAAAGGCTGTCTGAAGATTATATAAGGAGGGCCGGGCGCGGTGGCTCATGCCTGTAATCCCAGCACTTTGGGAGGCCGAGGCGGGCGGATCACGAGGTCAGGAGATCGAGACCATCCTGGCTAAAACGGTGAAACCCCGTCTCTACTAAAAATACAAAAAATTAGCCGGGCGTGGTAGCGGGCGCCTGTAGTCCCAGCTACTGGGGAGGCTGAGGCAGGAGAATGGCGTGAACCCGGGAGGCGGAGCTTGCAGTGAGCTGAGATCGCGCCACTGCACTCCAGCCTGGGCGACAGAGCGAGACTCCGTCTCAAAAAAAAAAAAAAAAAAAAAAAGATTATACAAGGAGATAACTCATATGAGTGTGTGTGTGTGTGTATACACATCTGGACAACCACGTGTACAGGGCAAGACATAAAACATTATTTCAAGATGTCTATGTGGGCTGTTAGTAGCCACAGAGCCTAATGAAAATTTCATAAGTTATCCAACAGAAAAGTGATTAGCTATTGAAGACTCAGTTAAAATAGTCTGGGAGATAGAACCAAAAGACATTCTTATCAGTTTGAGTTGTCCATATATGGAGAAATATATCAATTCTATGTGGATCAAACTTACTTATTCATTGTAGAAAATCCCCCGAGTTGAATGAATGAGTCATAAATGCAAGGTGTATTTTTAATTTCCCCCCTTCTGATATCAGTGCCAAATCCTTCCCCTCCATGGTCCTTTAGCACTATTCAGAGGCAGACAATGCTGCCACTGTTTTCAGAACATGGACATGGTCAAGAGTGGAATAATATAATGATACCATTTCAAGCAGGGCAGCTAAGGTTGTGTCAGCATTTCCATTATAAAAACCTCTTTTCAAGGATTAATATCTCAGGTGTAAAAATTCACACCCAGGCAAGATTTGGTAGCAGAAATGCTTTTATTCTGTAAAACTGAAAACTATGCTTGTCTTAAAAGTCGTATTTTAATGTGCACCAATTTTCCATACACAGATATGTGATAACAGAACTTAGAGAAAGATGGATTATGAGTCTGTGTGTATGGATGAGGCCACTGACATTGAGTTTACCTTAATGGCATTATTTTACTGCAAACAAGGGCAAAAATACCACATACCAAATTGGAATTTCAGACTTCAGAACTCAGATTTTGTTGTAAACACCAAAACACAACACGCTGATGACAAACTTCCAATGTTCTCTGTTAATCATGTCCTCCAGCACTATTTAGCTCCTATCTATCCTTTTAGAAGAGTGGTTTCCAACTGGGAGTGATTTTATCACCCAAGCTATATGTGGCAATATCTGGAGACATCTGTGATTGTCACAACTGGGGCTGTCTGGGTGCTTCTAGCAGGCAGAGCTCAGGGACACTGTTGAACAGAACAGCTAGAATTATTTGGTCTAAAATGTCAGTACCACATTGCAGAGCCATTCTCATTCAGCATGTGGGCACACCAGATGCTGCCTGCAGACTCGCGATCTAGCAGCAAGATGGGCCACATTCATGAGCAGCCTTATCTCCAATGTCTTGAGATTGTCTTGTCTTCTTTTCACGTTTAGAGGAGAGGAGATACCTCAAAATCTCAAATTATCCTGGAATATTTCCTTTATTATCATCCTTTCTTGCTAAGGGATAGCTCACTCTAAAGCACAGAGATAATTAGTAAATGGAATGAAAAAGAAGATGAGAAATAAGCCATTCTTCACTATTAACTGATGGTTATTTTTTGTGTTTTCTTTAGAGAAGAAAAGTCTGTGGGTCTGAGATGTGTAGTTGTCAGAAAAAAAATAAAAGTTCCTCATCTGTGGTAGATAAGCACTTGGCATCTAAAAACCTTTCTGCATTTATTTTGTTGATCTTTGTTTACCTATGACAAATAGAGAGAGCTAACTCCCATACTTTATATGTCAGTTGATCAGCCAAACAATCTCTGCATATGGTGTCAGGAAAGACATCAGGTGGCTCCAAGTGCCTGTATGACCTGCTCTGGGAAAAGCACTTGGGGATCCATAGACCTAAGACATTCAGAGTCCCAGAGCTGTTAGCCATTCACATCAACATCTTCTCTAGGTGTCAGCCATTTGCTCAAACCACTAATCAAGCAAATTTTGGTGACTTAAATTACAACTCATTTTCTTTCTTATTTCTACCATTGAAGGGAGGGCCTACTTAGTAAAGAAAAAGTAAAAATGCAAGAAGCTGGAGTCTGGCCAAGGATTTTTCAGTTAACACTAAACAGAACAGAGTTCTATTCTAGAACAGAGATCACTGCAGAGTCCAGAATGCAGTCTAGAGAGGGCTGGTACTACTCCCCAAGTATTGAGAGGGTACCTGACTTGTTATGTAAACAGCTGTCACCAGGAAGTAGTAAATGAAGTTAAATATCAGAGGAAAAAGAACTCAAAGATCCACTGAGAGAAATATTCAACTGGACCAAGTGATAAAAATGTTACTTTTGTTAACCAAAATACAGTCTGAGAGCAGGATGCTGACTAGCAGGTTGACAAAGAAACAATATTTTTCAAGAAAAAAATGTACACAAATTCACCCTTCTGGAAATGGAAACATTTGAAAATGAATTTTAATTTACTTTTTCAACAAATTTTAGGCACCATACAGTCTAACCTTCTCTTTTCTATCTGCTACTACAATGCACACACACAAACACACGTATGGATGGATGGATGCATGCAGGTACATTACAGGGAGATTCTGACCGTGACAAATTGGATTTATAAATACATATTCATACAGACAGTGTGTCTGTGTACCTAATCTCTCAAATCCAAAATCTCCCCACAACCGTTTCAACATCCTCCAGAATTTCAAATGGCTGAACAATGAACAGTAAAGTATCTTGGGAATCCTTAACCTCCCTGTAAGTACATAGACTGCCTCAGGGGGTCAGTTTTGTATTTTGGAATTATGGCTGGTGAGGATCAAACTTGTCGGTAGTGATGGTGATAATGCTGGTGTATGTGTCTTTAAAATACCCTAACTTTTTTCATCTTCTGATTTTGGTGAATAAAGTTGCTGAAAATGAAAACTCTCTTTATAATTCACACAGGCTTGCCACAACGTCACAGAAATGTGCTCTAACCTACCTGTGAGAGGTTGCCTGTATCTATTCCTACTTACAACTCAGCAGCTACACTCTCTCCCTTTACTTCCATAAATCAGAAAACTCCTCCTGGCCCTGAAAACATTATTAGCTACCATATGGAGTGCCAAACTCTACCACTGCTGTAGACATTAGCTCTTCAGATGGCTGAGAGCTAACGTATTTGCCCAATTTGCATTTTAATAGTCTGCAGCTGCAGTGGACTCCTTTCACTTTATGATGGGGATGCCCCAGCTTTGCTCAAGACAGGCAATCCTGGCATACTGCCCAGAGCAAGGAAGCTGTAGCGGATCTGGACAAAATGCAAGAGTACAGACTCTTATTTCCAACAGAGTTCAACAGGTAGGGGGCTCCACCCTAGACCCAGCAGCTAGCTTAGAAGTGTTTGGTGTGGAACTCTTTAGGCTGCGTAGTTTTGATATTCCATCCTAGACATCTTACCCTTGTGACCAATCACTTTGTTCCCTACAGGGCCATGTGGATGTGAACAGAATCCTTCCTTATGTCCATCTTGGAGGTGAGAGGCATCAACTCTCATGTGCCACTGAGAGAGAGGGCAAAAATATTAAAAACCATTGCTGGAAGGACACCTTGTGAGTTTGTAAGTTTTTCAGCACACTTATCATCTAAGAAACTAAACTAATGAACTCAGTCCCAGAATGCATAGAGTTGTCCCACATGCGAATAGATTTCTACCTCTATCAAGAGTTCCCTGTGCTTTCCAGAGGGAATGAGCACCAGCACTTGCCATTCGAATCTGTCATCAAGATGCTCTCAGGCTCTTATCTCAGACAATGTTGACTCCACTACCAAGTTATAAAGTATAAAAGGAAGTGGGTCTTAGAGATGGTACAGAGGAAAACATTCATACGACATTCCTTGTTGTAGTGAACGTAACTGGGTTTTGCAGTTTTCCCACTTCAAAAAATCACCTGACAGTCCGTATGCTGCGTTCAGTTCCACTCATCATAAAGGGAAGCACAGGATTACCTGGGTGACAGCTTCCAAAGCCCATGAACCATGAATAAGGCTGGGGACATACGGAGACAGCAGCCTCTGTGGTGTGTTACATTGGATCTGGGCTGAGAGTTGCTGTCTGCTCTAGTATCTTTATCTCCTTTCACCTTGGAAATTGCTGTTTGGCTCTGGCTAATAGTTGGTTGACTTCAGGATCACAGTAGGGACTAACTTGGAAAGTGCCCTTAAACTTATTTTTATCAGGATGCCTCTTATGGTTAAATATATTTGCTTCCTGTTTGTGAGTTGGAGAATTGCCAAGCAGAATGTACACCTCCCTCAGCCTTGAAAGGATGGATGCTTCTACCTTTTTTGCATTATCGAAGAGATAATAAAGTGTATTTGTGTTATTCACTATATTTTTAGCAAGACTGAGCCCTAGTCCATGTGCAGACTTCTTGGTTTTGTTTATTAATAAAAATCATATATATGGCTGCAACCATTCTGACAGTCTAGAAGTTGCCACCCTTGTTAGGAACTGCATTTCTGTGATTATGATCAAAATATACTAAGGTAGTTGTCTATAATTATCATCTTGGAACACTCATGGGCCATTCTAAGATAAAGAACTACCACATCCACCATAAGCTTGTGTTATGTTTATGACCATCAATGTCACACCATGTTAGAGGAAAGCGCATATATTTATGAAGATCAATGTCACCCTGTGTAAGAGTAACGAATGTATTATACTTACGAAGATCTATGTCATACTACCTAAGAGTAAAGTTACAGAGTTGAGAGTCAAGAGTCTTATATCCAATTAGCCTACAACTCCAAGTATCTCAGTACATGGAATAAAACATATAAAACAGACAAAAAAAGAAGCTATAATGTAAAACCTAAAAATAATAATAAAACCTAGAGAAAAGTGCTTAGACGTTACCCCTCATTTCTTGCAAAGTAAGCTCATATTTAAGTTCAGATGGACCGGGTTAACAATCGCTATTTTTAATGTTAAAATGCCCTAGGGAAGTTATAAACGCACCAAATATGCTGTTAACCTTACTTTATATTGTGTGCAGCTGTATGGCTTTGTACCAGGGACCAAACTTTCTAACTGGGCCAGCAAAGTGAAAGAGGCTTTTTTCCAAAAACCTTTCAATAACAATGCTTTGCTTGTCACTAGATTTCCATTTCATTTTTTTCTACTACTTCACACTAGTATTTGGTTTAGATTTTACTTATTTCCAATTACTTTCTTTGGTTGTTATTTTCACTGAGAAATGCACACTATATATTACTGAATAGGGATAAAAACAGGGAGAGAAACGTAATGGAGAAAGAAGAGCAAATTCAAATGTTTATTTCTGACACCGAGAGCCAATGCTTTTTTAACTCCCAAGATCATTCTCTCTGGCAAGTTTAAAGAGACACTTTAACATTTCTATAGACCTTCCTGGGATCATTAATATTGAGCACCATTTGCTGATCTTATGAGAACGTAATAAAAACGACAATTTTTGTTTTTTCCTTACTGTCTACATAAGAAGTTACAATCTATTCAACTTTAAAAAATGAATTTTAATGGTTTAAGGTCATCTATAAGCCTTGGCAGGGTACATTAAAGGAGAAATGGCCGTATCTCAGTGCTTTTTTTGTGTTTTGGGGGGGGCAGGCACTTAACTGAGATGACATAGAAGCACACTGGCAGGATTCTCAGGTCTGAGGTGACGCAGTCTGCCCTACAGGTCTGTGCTTTGTTTGCAGTCAGACCTGCACAGAGATGGTGCTTCCAGCCAGCCCTGGCAGTAGCTGATTGACTAGCAAACTGTCTTGCAGCTCTTGCTGACATCCAGATGCAGCACTTACCCAGGAGTCTGACCGTAGACATTGATACCTCACTGGAAAAGAGGATTCCAACGTGGAACCCTGGTGCTACTTCGGCGCTGCTGACAGAAATGATGTCTGCAAATGCTGCTGCTTGGACAATGGCCCTCTACAAACTATTTACTAAAATCTGTTTCATGACAGAGAACAATAAAAATAAAAACCTTCCACCAGGTAGAAAGTCAAATGGAGCTAGGCTGTAGTTTGTTGGATGAAAAAAAGTAATACAAGAAATTCATTCAATTTGGCATAAAACTGCAACATTTCAGCTGTAATGGCCACCAAACGTGCAATGAAATGAATCCAATTACCTTCACAAGTTTATGCCTCATGATGATGCTGCACTTCAAACCTTTGCCTTTTTTGGTTTTGGTTTTTTGAGCCAACGAGAAAGAATCCTAAAGCCCTTGTTTCTGGATGGTCTGTCAAAAGACCAGTAAGGTAGCCTCAGAGGAAGTGCTGAGGAGCCTCTGGAAGCACAGCCTGGACCAGGAGTGAAGACTGAGGTCTGCCCTTCCACTGAGTGAATGACTGAGGGGTCCCTGCATCTGTTGAGATTCCCTACTGTGAAATCAGGGGACTGACAGGTGATGTCTGCAGCCCTTACAATAGTCACATTTGATCTCTGAATCAGAACCCTTGATTGTATCTGAAGAACAAACATCATAATGTATTATTTAATGCCTTCAAACATATTCAGTCCTTATTTTAAGAAAATAATACATAGGTAAAAATTTTAAAAAATTAGAAAATCTTACTTTAATATGATTGGAGTAGAGGCCTATTATACAGATTGACCTATAGATTGTCTTGCAGACAGTCCTGAGCCCCACTGGCCTTCTAGACTTCATATTGTAGTGAATAAGATAAACTGAAAATAACAGTAAAACAAAACAAAACCCTATATAACAATGTTTAAAAGAGGAATACAAGAATTAAAAATTAACCATTGTATCTCAGACTTTAATTATATATAACTTAAAATGTTAAGAATACATATAAATGTGATATGTAATAAAAATCTTATAATGAAGTTCTATGATTTTGTTTCTGAAGTTAAAAAATAAGTTGATCTATACAATAGATTACCATTCAGCAATCAAAAAGGAATGGACTACTGATATACACAACATGGATAAATCTCAAATGCACATGTGAAGTAAAAGAAGACAGACTCCAAAAGTTACCCAGAGGATTATTCCATTTATATGATATCCTGGAAAAGGAAAAACATTAGGGCAGAAAACATTAGAGATTATAAGGTGGGGGCTGGGGAGAGAGAGGAGGAAGCCGACTCTGAAGATGCTCAGGGGAATTTTGTGCAAGATGGATTGTTCTATATCTTGATGATGGTGGTAGTTACAGGCCTATATGCAGTTTTTAAATCATAGAACTACATACTAATAACAGTACATTTAACTGTATATAAGTTACACCTCAATACACCTGCCTAAATGGCTGATATTCTCCACCAATATATGTCTGGTGTCCAAAAAAAGGACGAGAAGAGTCTTCTCACATTGTCAACCGTGAAGAAGAGAACGGCTGGTCCACAGGTTTGGGTTGTAGGAACTTGATGGGGAAGGCAAAATCCAAGGGTACTTTAAGAAGATTAAATAAGCTAAGAAGTTCTCCAACTTGCTGAGTTACATGGCAGGCACACACTGATGGGAAGGAGAGAGGAACCTAGGCAGGTCTGTGTTTGTGATGTGTGCCCAGAAGGGCTGGTGCCTTCTCTAGTCTTGCTCCACTAACTGCACCAGTCAGCAGCACACTCTCACTCACATGCCCTTGGCCCAGACTCCACTGTTAGGGCAATGAAATATCACGCTTCTCCATTCAAGAACAGAGTTACCGAAACAAGATCTGTCTGTCTTTACTCTGCCTTCCAGTTAGTGCACTGTTAAACTACTAAGTAAGATGTCTGCTTCTGAGCCAGATCACTGGAGGAGAGTTTTAGAAATCACCTGGAGGGTGACGTGCACACAAGGGGAAAGCACCCTCAGTGAATGAAGGAGCAGGAAGCCGACTGACATCTCTAAAGTTCTGGGCTCAGTCCTGTGTTGAGTTAGTGTTCATTCTGGGAGGATACATGTGTATAAAATGGGAAGAGATGATGAAACATATTTAAACAAAACAAAAGAATGGTTTGCATAATGAACAAACAGGACTGAGAATCACACCGTCTAGAGGACCAGGAGGGGCCACTCCAGTGTGGTGCAGCTGGGGATGGTGAGGGGTTTAATTTTACCACACAGCCTGGGTTAGGCATCTTGGAAACTACATTTTTGATCAGGAGAGGCTGTTCCAGTGGGAATACCAGCCCACAGGGTTGGATTGCTCACACTAACCAGGCTGAGCAGATTCCTCTAATTTCGGGGCATGAAGCAGAAATGTCAGTGGCTAGAGGGCATCACTGCTCTTTCTCCCAAAAAAAAAAAAAAGAAAAAAAAATGCGAAAAGGCAGGAGGTATCCCATAGGTTACAGGGAAATGGGCTAATTGGCTAGAGTGATCTGGTCTCCTATCAGCCTCCTGACCTGGTGTCGTGGCCTCTTCTGTGGAGAAGCCAACATAAGAGAATGGGAAGAAATGCACTTTAGTCCCCAGTCACAGGTGAGTCTAGGGTTTTATAAACACATTTTGTCTTTTCGGACTTCACCTCTGAAAAAGTGAGTAGATAGCAAAGTCTACATAAAATAAAATACATTTTATCTGTTGCACTGAAAATTATGATTGTTAAAATCTGAACTGAAAGCAGGTATTCTTGAATATATTTAGGAAAAGAGAACAACGGAATTACCCAAACTTTTAAATAATAAAAAAGCTTCACAGAGAACATTCACTTCAACCACTTTCCCAACCATCTAAGTTTCATTACACTTTAAATCTTTGAGTACTTAACTGGGATTTACAGACAATAACTAGAACAGGAAGGGAGTTGATGATGAGGAAAGAGCAGATACTTACTTCTGCACTGGGACTTCGCATTCTTCATAAACCAGACCAATAAAATAACGTTGTTTGATGACTTAAGCTCATTTATTTATTTTTGTGGCAGTGGGTGATCCATCAGTATTGAAATAGAAATAAAAATTATTTTGTTTAATATTTTAAACTAAAATAATGGTTCTCCCTTTACATCAATACACCTTGAACAAGAGGTATCAGGAAAAGACAAAGGATCCTGCTGGCACAGCTTCGAATCCGGGGGGACATCACTGAAATGTATTAGCAACACACACCACTGCTTTACTCAATGCTAGGTGCAGCTTATCAAGCTATCAAAGAGAATCTGCTGAATATACCAAGTGTGTCTCAGAAAAAATTCTTTGTATTAGCTAGAACAAGGTTAACAAACATTATAACTGTTCATAAAAGGATTCTGTGATTAATATATTTCCACAACTTGCTGGAGCTTGTACTGATTAGTCTTTGCCAAAGAACCTTTCCCAGCTGCATTCAGCAATATCCTGGAATGACAACTCTGTCAAATTAACTTGAAAACATCTAACGTTTTATTCACATAGTTCCCTGGGTAAAAAAATTCCATACTTCTTATTATGTTGTGCCGGTGATCTACATTCTTCTTTAGAATAAAATAATGGGGATAACATAAGATTTATTGGAGGAGAGCTATAGTTTTTATGCATATAATGTCTATAACACTTATGAGTAAGTCTTTCAAGCAACATTGTCTCTTCCAAATATAAAACATACAACTTATACAAAACACTGAGAAAACATCCCAAAAATTGGATAAGTTAAATACTAAAGGTATAGATAATTCATTATGAGTAATAACTGTTAAAGGCTAAACTAGCCACATTATTCTACTTTTTAACATGTAAAATGTTTGCATTTTTATCCTGCAGAAAAAAGAAGCTTTTTTAGTAACTCTGATTTTAAACATTAAATTCAAAGGTTTCTGATTGTTATCTGTTGCATCGATGGTTTTTATTACCTGTGTGGCTGTAAGGGGCTAGGGGGATCTTAATGAACTGGCCCTATCAATTAGCTCTTAGGAGGTGTTAAAATCACCCATAACCATTAGTTTCTTTCACATGTTTAGGAAAACCCACCATAGGAAAAATTCTCGCAAGTAAAAAAGAAAATGTTTTTACGATTTCACTTCAGAGGGTATATTTTTCCTTATTTAAGTACATATTTGTGTTTAAGAAGGGTGGGAGTGGAAACAGCACCCACAAACGTTTGGCTGTAAAACTCTAAGGTATTATGTAATGTGTCCACATATTAATTCTTTATATAGCACTTATAAACACAGAAAAATATTGTGTGTGTGCGTGCATGTGTGTGTGTGTTCCAATATAAGTGGGGAAGGGGACATTCAGTATCTCTCAATTTACATGGAGTACCCACATAGCTTTTTGTGAATAAAAGAGCAGTAATTTAAAAATTCTGACACGTCCCACAAGCTTCTTTTAAGTCTTACAAATGAAAATTCTTCTTTAAATTAAAGATTTAGACAGGTTTACAAGGTTGCCTGAGATCACACCGGAACATCATAATATATGTGTCTGAAGAGTATAGTAGTTTGATAATCTATAAATCACTTTATCATTATTGCAAAGCCAATAAAAGCCAAACATCTCACATACATGTACATTTCTTCACATTTCTGCATTTTAGCAAATCACAAATTACCAAACTTTAAAGTTTTCAGGTTTATCTCAAAATAAAAATAAAAGTTTAATATATATTTTCTAATGTGTCATTTAAAAAAAGCATTAATCAATTTCAAACAAATTAGCCAATAAACCAGCAAAAAAGTGTGGCCATTTTCAATTGATACAATTAATTTCTCTAAGAGGGGTGGGTCATAACGTTTCATTTATTTAAGTTTTGTCACTTTTTGCAAAAATAAATTAACTTTCTAGTTTATCATCAGTTCAAAAAACAATCCCAAGGAGATAAAACATTATAAATATCAAGAATTATTTCTCTAAACTTTTCTCATTATTTATTAGCATTACTACATAAAATGATACTTAATCTTTTATAGCAGAGATTTGGGAAGCTATTGTTAACTTCTGTGTTAGAAAAAAGATAATTTCAATATTACATATTTTTACATAATGCAGCTCTTAACAGCATTTTTCAAAACAGAAGTGTAAACTTAAAGAACCATGACAAAGGAAAAATGAATTAATAAAACAGCCCTCCATTCTTACCTTCAAACATTAAAATTATTGAGCTATTTATTTTCACAATAAATAAAAAATGTTAACTAGAGATTTATATGATCAGACTACTAGTCAAAACTATGAAGCAAGGGCCACTCTATGATGACATGAATTTTTCTTTTTCTGCAGTGGATGCTAGAATATAACCAGGGAGGAAAGCAAACCCATGATCCCCATTTCTGGTCTTGGTTCATTTAGTAGTGTTGACTAAATGTGGCAAAGGCAGATTTGCTGGTGATGAACTCAGGATAAAATGGGAAAAATGTGAACCTTGACCTTTTTAACACCACTTAAAAATCAGAACCAGACCTGTCAGTGCACCGCCTCACTGCCTATCGCCTAACAAATTGGAAACCTGATCTCCCCTCCTCTGAGTAGAAAGTAGGCTTGTCAGGCTAAGCTGAGCAGCAAACACCCGACAAGGCTGAGCTGAGCAGCAAACTCCCCAAAGCAGAGAAAGACCCCAAGTGTAAAGTCAAACTTCATATGATACCTTGAGTTTACAACAGTGTAAGATGTTAAAAATAGTTTTGAACATTGTTTCCTTTGCCTTGTTTTCATATTTCATTTGCAAAACATAGTACAGAAGATAGAGTTTTTGACCAAACAAGAAAGGATGTTTACATTTTTATTGCCGGAGCTTAGAAACGCCATCATCTGTGCTCCCCAACTCCATGCTCCCATCTCTCTCTCTTCAGGGATTATCATTTTAGATTGACCAAAATATCCTAACTTCATCAGTCAGCACTTACCACAGACATAAACTGCTTTCTGTAAGAAATATTCCTCAATTAAGTTTTCTTGAGAACTTTATCCTCTTCATTTTGTCCTTAATTATAGAACCTTGTATTTCCTATTTCTCTTTCATTTCTCCAACCTAGCAGATTTGTAATAGCAGAAAAATTACTACTAGGAATATTACAACTACTTGGTGTCAAGTCTAGTACAGAATTGAGTTTGTGTATTTCAAGGAAGAACAGAGACTGCTGAAAATATCTGTTGTCTTCTATTTCTACTTTATTTTAAACTGGAAAACCTGGTACTAGGCAAAAATGAGGTGAAATTTTATAACAAATTAAGCTAGAGTGATAAAATCCATGAAGGAAGAAGAGAAGCAGATTAAATGACATTTAAAAATATCCAAGCCTTCATTTGATTAACTTTAATCTAATTATAAAAAGTTGCTGCTCACTTCCCTACCAAACAAGGAGACCTCAGAATGCTTAGGTTAAAAAAGAAAAAAAGAACGAAAGGAAAAAAGATGTTAGAGAAGCAAAAATAACGCTGAATTAAAGCACTTGGAGGCCAATGGCTTTGAACCTGGGCTCCACCAGTCATTCCACCCAGCGAAGCGGTCTGCAGAGGCTTGGGCTCCTGTTAACAGAGCCCTCATTGTTTCCAAAGGCAGTTAGAAAAATGCTGCTTTATATCTCCTCACACCACAGGCTCCGTGCACAGCCCCAAGAAAAGGCGGCTGAGGGCGTACAATCCACAGGAAGAAAAAAAAATGCATGGCTATATATACAGCCCCCAGCCCCACACCCTACCAACACAGAAAAACACTACCCCAAACTCAATTCCTGGCTGGCAAACTGTGGTAAAGGATGTTATGGTGGTGCATAATTTACAACTGGAAATTTCTGATTCATGTGGGATTTGGGGCATTTCTTTGCCCTTTACCCACCACCTCTCCGTTTCCACCTCAAGCACAGGGAGGTGAAAGCTGTCAGGCAGTGGGGCTGATGCCATCAGGCAGCAAGGAGATAAACACTGCATTTTTGAGAGTGCAGTTATTCCACACCTGTTTAAAATGTTTATATAGTAATTAAAGATTAATGCTTATTCCAGACCAGATAAATATTAGACAGTGCATGTGTGTATATACATATATGAATCTGCAATGCTGCAGAGAACAAAGATTTTATTGTATCAAGCGTACTTAGCGAAGGGTATACATTTTAAAAAGGCCTGAGCTTCACGAAGTTTACATTACAGAGGGGAAAAAAGGCTTAAAAATGTTAAGTGGTTGGAGCTACTGAGTGCCATACAGAGAGCAGGTAGTTAGTAGTGAGTATGAGCTAATTCTGCTGCTAATCATTTGGTTTTCTATTTATTAAAGGGCAGGTCTCAGTTTACTCCTGAGCAGCAGCCAGTTCAATGGGCCACTCTGAATTGTTTCCCGAAGTTTAACAATTAAACCTGCTGAGACCAAGAAAAACAAAATAATTAACCTTTACAAATGTAGTAGTTACAATATAAAAGTTTTATTTTTAAAAAAGGTAATGCATGCACTGTGTTTGGTGAAGAGCTCTGGGCCACACTACAGCACCAACATCCCAGAAAAGAGCAGAAAGCCTGCTAGGTGAGCAGATGCTGCTGAACCTTGGGAGTACACTTGCCACACAGTGCCCCCCCGGGGTACCCCTAAATCCCTATGGTCAGCACATACAGCATGGACAGTATGCTTGCTCAAGTCCTGCTCAGGAAGGAGAATCATCTGACACACACCATGCTCACTGGATGATAACAACAATATATTCCTTGGTTTATAATTGACTGTTTTGTTAACTTTTAAATCGACAACAATTTTTAAAAAGTTAAAACAATCAGTGTTACATTTCAATTTATGTAAAAATTATGCTCCTGACAAATTACATGGATATATTTAGCTACATTTCCCAATTCACTGACAATAATTTACAGAGACTCATTGTATTCCACTCTGATGATATCAATTCTGGTGAAATCTTTAATAAATGCAAAAGTTACTTTGAACTCAAAAAAGTTGTAAATTGTGACCATTTTAAAAGTGAAAATGTTCACATACTGCATATTCTTATATGACATGCTAATAGGGTCAACTAAGGATTACTTTTAAAAGTAGTTAAATAAGTCTTTTTAAACATTTTCTAAAAAGAAATTATTTTCCTTTGTGAAATATTAACGAAAACATATTTTACTTATACTACTACAGGGCAATACAAACAATTAGGTGTGTGTTTAAAAAGGTAACGATCGGTAGGATGATGTCAGTCTGACAGATGTGATAGAGTGTGCAGGCAAATATAGACAGGAGCAATTTGTACAAATCTAGAATCCATTTATCTGGATTTTACAACATTGTAGACACAGACTACCAGAATGTTTTCATCCTAACACTCACCAGCTTACTGACACCTACCCAGCCAAAAGCTGGACCCCTGGACATTCCCTAAGCACTGAAGAAGGTCCTGTCACAGGGATCTCTAGAAACAAGTGGATAAATATCTTAGAGGATAGGGAGATATGAGAAAATTTCCCTCTATTAATTAGGTAATTGTAAATTATTCATAAGCATGACTAAGATGTTTAGTAAGTCAGTAAATCAAAAGAAAAGTCTCAGAAAACAAATCAGAATAAAAGTTAAAATTGAGAGGTAAAATGATAAAGAAAACACACATTGAGGAATACTGGTAATAGAAGGCAGGAGTTTTGGAGGTACAAGAAACACTCCTGTGTTATTTGTAGGTGTTCCTCGTGTCTGTGGATGGGTGCTTCCCCCAACAGATGATCCTAGGAAGGGAGGCTCCTAAATGCTGACTTTCCTTCTCAACAGCTGTTCTTTTTTTTTTTTTCCCTGGAGTCTCGCTCTGTCACCCAGGCTGGAGTGCAGTGGCACGATCTTGGCTCACTGCAACCTCTGCTTCCCGGGTTCAAGCTATTCTCCTGCTTCAGCCTCCTGAGTAGCTGGGACTACAGGCACCCGCCAGCACGCCTGGCTAATTTTTATATTTTTAGTAGAGATGGGGTTTTACCATATTGGCCAGGCTGGTCTCGAACTCCTGACCTTGTGACCTGCCTGCCTCGGCCTCCCAAAGTGCTGGGATTACAGGCGTGATCCACCGCACCCGGCCCTCAACAGCTGTTCTGTCATCATGTTTACCCACTATGTTTCTTCACCAGTCTATTCTAAGTGTCTAATCAGGTAACCTGGAACATATTTTCCTACATGGATGAAGTAAATATGGAGTAAATACATACATGGATGAACCAAGGAGGACCGCAGTGATCCCGGTTGAATGCATTTAGTTTCCCAGACCCTTCATCACAAGACTGCCTCACATTCAGGGAGCACAAGTGGATGGAAGGAAATCGAGAGCCATATTCTGCAGAGCACTGAGGTAGGCGTGTCTATATTTCTTACTTTATTTAATAATTTTTAGTATTCTTTAAGAATTTTACAGATGAAAAATTTTATCTCAAAGTCACCAAAGTGGCATAGTTGGGATTCATTCCTAAATCTCTGAACTCAAGTGTAGGGCTCGTCCCAGTATAATGTGCTGCAAAGGTTACAAGTAAATGCTTAGTGACTCCAGAATGTGCTGAATATGTTATGTATGGTTGTGAATTCAGAGGCTCAATATCCAGATCAAGTAGTTCTATAACTTAGAATCTTATAAGGCATTATTTGTACATTATTTGAAATCAGAAAATTATGAATATGTTTAAAATATTTATTTTAATGAATTACTCATAATTTGTATCTACTCTCCTTCTAAAAATGATTTAATATGTTCTTACAATGTGAACACGTACAAGTGAAATAATAAAGTGCAAAAGAAATATTAAAATAGGGATATGAAACCATCCGTGACAGTGGGGAAATGCCCCAGAGCTTTGCATAGCATGGTTAAAGCTTATGAGCACCATCTTGTCACTCTCTGAGAAGATGAGGCAACTGCAGCAGGAAAAGGCTCTACTGGGGGAGATAGCTCACGCTGCTTGTATAAAAGAAAAATACTAGTTCTTTAGGTAATGCTTTTCTCTGGCACTAGGTACATAAGGTCTCATACATGGATACTGATGAACACAAGTGGGAAGGTTTTCAAAGTCGTAGATTGTTCCTTTCTTTGTTCCTATTTTTTTAATAGCGTTCCTAAATAAAAATCAAGGGCGTAAGTCACAGGCAGGCCACAATGAGAGGAGGAGGTGATCCATCTGTGGCCCAGGTATGTTTCTCTATGGTGATCTAATTTGAGGCCGATTGAGGGTTTAGACAGCAAAGAAGAGGGTGGCATGGGGTCATTCTTTCAACAGCAATTACTTCAGACTCACTTGTGGCAGGAGCTGAAGGGCTGTCAAGGTCTAGCTCCTGGTCAATGTCTGGTATTCAGGTATTTGGAACTGTTGATCTGCATAAGAACCACAGCCTTCAGATATTCAGGCAGTTTCTGACAATGGTTAGAAATAATGAAAAACCTGCGACCATTTTACTTCTGCTTCTCAGCAAGGGAGGAAAGTAAGTAGCAAAAACACAGGCAGAAAGAAACTTTTACTGTTAAAAAATAAAAAAGAAATCGGCACAGAACCCAGTGTTTGGGACCACAGTGCGGAAAAGGAACATTTAGTGGATGGCGTCCCCTTCACACTCTGTGGAGGACCCACTGATCCCTGGCTCTTCCTCCTGGATGTGCTACTGTTACAAAAGCAGGGAGACTAATTTCTTGGCATATTTTTCCACACACTCTGGACAGGAGAGGGCAGCCAAACAGCCCTGCATGCCTGGAGGGGTCCTTCTGCCGCAGGGTGGGTACAGCTGAGACGGCTCAGACCACGACTGTCTGCTGTCCATTCTCCCCAAGTAGGCAGTGCCTGTTCTCTCACAGGTTGTGCCTGGGGCCTGCCTTCCTGGGCAGATAGGAAGACCATGCCAGGACAAGAGCCACACAGGGCTGGCGTCTGCCAGCACGGTGTCTCTGGCACTTGAGTTGAAGGCTTTAATTCAGTGGCCCTTTAATGTCATTTTCCTCTTTCTGTCCCTCCTTGCTCCTCAGTGCTGGATGACACCCCATGATCAATACGGCAGGTTTGTACAGAGAAGTGCACTTGGTGGTGACAGCTATGTCACTGGACACTGAGTAAGAAACTAGGAGATCCATTCTATGAGCTCTTCCAGAAGAGCTAAGGATGAGCACTTCATCCAGCTTGTACTTTCAGCAACGAAGATACGCCCAACCCTTAGAAGCATGATATATGCCTGTGCCAATCAAGCCACAATGTCAATCTTCCTCCCCCACCCCAGCCCCACAAACACCTACACACCCGCACACCAAGCACAGCTGCAAAACAGTCCGAGCCACATCACCAGAGAGGCTCTTTGCTTGTGATTTCGGATGCCTCAGACTGGCTGTGTGAGTACAGTCTCAGCACATTTTGTCTTTTAAGGGAAGGAGCTACTTAGTTCAGTGCTAGTTATCTTGAGATAAATATCTTTAAATATACTCTTCCTTATACGTACTCTTTTTAATAGAATAATTACTTTTGTTACGCCCAAGACACACCTATGAAGTTTAAGATGTCACTTAGAAATAATATCCAAAACAAATGCAAAACACACACTATTAAATTAAGCCATATTAAGAGAGTAAAGTTTTATTTCTTCAGAAGGCAGAAATGATACTTTTTTAAAACCAGCTAATTAACTTATGTGAACAAAAGTAAACACAAACAGGGCCCAGGGAACTAATAATGTCACCTGTTCCAAATGCCAGATAGGTGTCTGGGTCTGCTGCAGACATTTACTATTTTGCATATGAAACAAATCGAGGTTTGGGTGGCTTCCGCTAATTAGAGAGAAATGCCTCTCCTTTCCAAACTGCATCCACCCATCCATATCACTATCCCCCAGCACACACACACACACACACACACACACACTTAAACCACTGTCTAATTACTCTGAACATCCACAAGGAGAGTTAACGAGTACCAAGGGTTAAAAGGGGCTGGCCAGAAAGGGGAGGGGAGAACAAGCTGGGGGACCCTCCAGCTGGGACCTGTTTGTGACTTCTCGGCCTCACTGTTTGAGACGTTCTGGCATTTTTATTGCCTGTTGTCTCAGTGATAATGTGCAAGCATAGAGATATATTAAAAACCTACGTAAATACGTTTAAGGAAAGAAAAAGAGTAGGTCATTAAATAGTGAAAGAACATTAATTTTGAAATGACGTCTACAGAGAATGTAATATTTTAATTTTAAAAATTGCTGTAAAAATATGAGTTAAGGCCATTATTATTTCAATTGAGTACTTCAGGGAACACAATCAAATAAATAACAATAAATGATGTTCCCTGACATGAGGAGTTGAAAGCAACCTTTGGTAAACTGGAATTTTTCTATCCTTCTTTGTTACAGAAATTACTTTTTTTCATGAAATAATAAAAGGGTTCATCTACCAATTTTATAATAGAAAAACGTAATGATCCTTGTTTTAAACATACTTGATACTTGTTCCATGCTAAATACGACAAAATTCTGTCCTAAGCTGCTGTTGTGAATAGTAAGGAAAGCCAATTATGATGTATTCTTGTAAGGATTTTTTAAAAACAGTTACAAACGGCTCAATTATTTTCCTGTTACTCACATAATAATACTTTCTACAAGAGCATAGTTCACATTAACAGCACGGCAAGTTACTTGCCTTCTTTTCTTTTCTCTTTTGTGAATGAGGACGAAGATACTGCTATCAAAGCCAGCCAGCCCAGATGTGCTGGCACTATCCTCTTTCTGTGAGACGCTGTGAGCACCTACAGTCAACAGATTATTTATTAGGCAAGAGAAGCACTTAATTCTAACTTCTGGCTAGCAAAGCATCCTCCTTTCCCTATTACTGGACAATTACTTTCTCAGATCCCCTCTTTCAAATTAATCTTTCCCTCATCCATGGTCCTCTCTATCCCAGTTGTCACCCTCCCTGTCTTCTGGCAGTAGACAACAATGCCCTTGGCACAGCCCACAGCACAAACACTGGCCGGAATGCAGTGCTGAGCGTAGCTGGGCCGAGCACATCCACCGGGCTGGCTAGCAGGGATTGCTTGTTTTCACAAAGGGAACAGATAATATTTTAACTGTAATAATTCAGTCTATATGAACTAGAATAATTCAGTACTTATAATTTCTATTCTTTTGCCTATGACTTGCATGATGTCTGATGTATGTGCCCAATAGCCAAGAAAAATGATAGTTATGCTTTATGGAAAGGTTGAAGAACTGAACACATTTGTTAGTAACTAGACTCCTTTTAGCATTTTTTCCCCAATCGCTCTGTCAGAACTAACTCTTTTTGCAGGGATATGATAGTCCTATGGATAAAATAGCCCACATTTGCCAGCTACTTGTGACAACGTCCAAAAGGGGTACAATATATCACTGAAACAGCCCACAAACTGGCTAGTCACATTATTTATTACGAGCCACACATGTGACAAATTATTTAACTCAGTTGATCCTAATAAGTCAAAGAGCAAGCAATTAGCTAACTCGGTCAGAGGGCTGTTTGTGGCAATTTATAGATGCGCTCAAGCTGTCCCAGCACTTCAAAGCCCCATTAAGGGGAAACCTTTTAATGACTCACTTGAGATGACAAGTATTACACAGCACATATGGCAGTCAGGAATTTGGCAGCCTATTCTGTTACACTCTGCCCGCCCCCAGCCCCCGACAGCTGTTTACAAGTTTTCAGTCTCTGCGCCTTGCTGTTGTAAGCAGCCACAGGGCTGCAGGAGCAGGAGGCATGGTATTTTCTAGAGCAACAAGTGGCAGTAGATTCCTGTATCACACAGGTTTCTGGGAACCGCTGAAATCCCCACTCTTTCGTCAGTCTGCGTGAACTGTTTCACAGGAAAGATAGAGACACCTAGACAGTGAGGGACAGCCCAGGTGGCATTCGGCAAGTCGCCCAGTTCTTTAAAGGCAACGTGAAGCTATTATAATAAAAACTTATCTCCCTACAGGGCTGTTGGTAGAATTAACGAACTAAATGTTAGCAAAATGCTTTGAAGAGAAAAGGGTTATCTATACCAGTCCTAAAGATTATGATTATGCATTGCAACATTGCTGCCTGTCAGACGGTGTTTGCATTTGACCTCCTCCCACCGCTTCTCCTTCAGAAAATTTTCACTTGGGCTGGATCCACATCCACATCCTTAATTCCATCGCCAACCATCCTGCCCCACCTTTGGAAGAAGAGTGCAATGCCACAACTAAACTGTGCAATAAGGGAATGGAATTTTGAGCAACAGCTTCCCAGAAGGATGCCTATATTGGGGCCACTTTTTCCCTGGAAACAGGGCACACAACAAGCTTAGACACTGAGAAATGAAATGCCAGCTGACATACTTGGTAATTTTATTATTGTCCACAATATTCAGGCAGCACTGAAGAAACTAGCACTAAGACTGAAGGACTGAAAAAGACAGGAAAATGAAGATTTTGCTATGTAAAAAGCTGAGACCCAAATACCATATCAGTGCACTAAATTTTTAAGCAGTAAAGATCCTCTTTATCTGTGATTTCAAGTACTTCAGTAACGCCAGCTTGGTGAAAGACAAGCTTAATCAAGAGGAGAAGCTGGTGACAGCAGGAAAACACAACACCCTACCCTGTTTGGATGGGGCCACAATTTCCTAAGAAAAGACAAGTGCCAACCTCTACCAAAGCACCAGAAACCCACCACAACTCATCAAATCCTCTTATACCACACACTCGCTTTATTCACATGAAACAATCAATCGATTGTGCCTTTGTGTTCCCCAAAGGCCACAGCTGTATTAGGGCCGTGGTGTAATTACAGCTTGCAGGAGGCAGACGGACCAGTGGGAGGAAGGGTGACCACTGCCTCGAACAGGGCACCGGCCTCCAGAGACGACCTGCTTGGAGGCGTGCCACCCCACGGGGACTGCACGGCCACTTGGCCTCCGGTGCTAGGAGTCACTCTGTTCTTGACTTCACTTTTAGTTTTTCACTGTGGCTTGATGGAGTTTCAAGTTTGTTATTTTGATTATATAGAAAAGTTTAATGAAAGAAATGTTAGGCTGGTAGAAAGAAATGTGAAAATCAACAGATAGTATAGAAAAAACGGTGGAGAAGTGAACATTTAAGTTGTGGTTTACACTTTCCATTTTTCCTCCCTAATACTCCTTAGTAAAAAGAGAGTTGGTCCCCTTATACTCAAGTACTATCAAAATCCCATGTATTATGGGGCAATTTCTCAATTATATTATTTTGAAGAACTAAGTACTACGTTGGAGTGGTGGAGAGAGAGGACATGATAGTTTGAAATAACATTAATTAATCCTAGTTTCCATGCTTCAAGGGTCACACACGACAATCTCTTCAAAACAAGAGATAAAAATGTAGCTGTCGTTATCCTGAGTATGCTCTTATAAGAGTTATATGTCAGTAACCCTTTAAAAAAGCAATACATTAGGAAGCTAGGGGAAGCATGACAATATTTAATATACATGTGTATATATAAAATACGTATATATAATATACATCAGCACAAGTCCTCATATATGCGCTGAAGACTCATGGCTTGGGATGGACTTCCCTTTGGCAGCACTAGCAATGGATGTGAAAGCCCTGTGTGAAAATGTGCTCTAGAAAACAGATGACCAAAAAGTGTCTCGTAGTAATAAAGACACAGATGATGAGGATGTGTTAAAGGATACTGAATAAAATTGTTTTTCAAAATGCGAGAAGAAAAAACCCCAATGTTTGGAAATATTTTAATGTTATTTTACAAATGTATGCGTAGCTATTCAGTAAATTAAACATTTAAAGTCACTTGACTATTTTGTCCACATTCTTAAAAGTTTAAATATTCAGTTGGCTTAGAATATTTTTTTGTTTCTTCTCATTTGGAAAACATGGGACTGCCCCCTATTTGGGTTACCTATTCTTGGGTATATAAAATTCAAAATAAAAAGAATAATATCCAATAGAGTTCTATTCAAACAAGTCCTTTGAAGTTAATAAATTTAAATTAAGAGAACCTCAATTTTGATGTTTATAATATTTGAATATCTCTGATTTGAGATATTCACATATTTGAATAACTCTGATTTAACCAAATACATTTTATATTGAAGTCTTTTTTTGTATTTACACACACACACACACACACACACACACACACACGGACTGGAAAGATATGTATCAACAAACTCTCTGAATGTTAGAATTTAAAAAAAATTTCAAACATGTATAAGTGCCACAAGATGTATTACAGAAAAATTGTAGCACACTCCCCCGCCGACACACAAATAAAACCCACAGCACTATATATTACTGTCTCAAAACCTTTAAACATCAGAATTATATTGGTAGATTCAAAATCTTAAGAAATTGCCAGATTTTAATATTCTTATCACTATTCTTAAAGTCACTATCTTGTATGTCAAGATGTTTTCAATGGGTTTTTATCCTTGTAATACTGCCAAATATTTTCACAATTTCTATTGTCATATATTAAATTTACTCAAAATAATAATAGCACATTGTTAATCACATGTTTAAAAATATGTGAGCATAGCTGGGTGTGGTGGCTCACACCCGTAATCCCAGCACTTTGGGAGGCTGAGGGCAGCGCAACACCTGAGGTCACGAGTTTGAGACCAGCCTGACGAACATGGAGAAACCCCGTTTCTACTAAAAATACAAAATTAGCCAGGCATGGTGGCACATGGCTGTAATCCCAGCTACTCTGGGGCAGAAGAATCCCTTGAACCCAGAAGGCAGAGGTTGCGGTGAGCCGAGATCGTGCCATTGCACTCCAGCCTGGGCAACGAGAGAGCACTATCTCAAAAAAAAAAAAGAAAAGAAAAGAAAAAAAATGTGAGCATAAATAATGCAGTCTTCTACTATATCTTCATTTTAAAAAATTATGTTAAAAAAATTGGCTGGGTGTGGTGGTTGGCACCTGTAATCCCAGCTACTAGGGAGACTGAGGCAGGAGACTCGCTTGAACCCGGCAGGCAGAGGTTGCAGTGAGCCGAGATCGCACCACTGCACTCCAACCTGGGCAACAAGAGCGAAACTCTGTCTCAAAAAAAAAAAATTCTGTTATACCGGAAAGGACACTTTCTAACTATGTTTTCTGCTATGCTCGGGAGCTGAAGGTGATGAGAAAAAAAGACGTGTTTGAAGTGAAACATAAAAGAGATAATTTATTGATTTATACATTCTTTAACCTAAGGATGTAATCCTTACGATATAATAACTAGGCTCTGAAAATAAATGTGGTGATTTGTTAAAGAACTAAACTTATGCCCAGGTTGTCAGGAGGCTGTGCTCTTTGGCTGGTAGAAAAGAGAGGAGGTTTGAGTAGAAAGACGAGGGTTCATGCCTAGCTCTTAGACAATTCCTGAACTTCTGGGATCTTTATCTCCCTCACTTCAAATGGTAATAACAATACTAACTTGTGCTATTGTGACAACTGATGAAAGGAGGTTATTCATAGGAAAGCCTTCTGGAAACTCAATATAAATATAAATACAATATAAATGCTAGATGTGGGACATTTCTGTTTGTTAGTTCAACGAACTTTTATTTGGAATATACCATAAAATAAAATGTTTCCTTCCTTTTTGATTTCTAGTAAAAAATAAGACAATTAATTCTCCTATGTAAAGAGGTTCTCTGATCATCTTTACCCCTTCCTACAGTGGACAAACCAGGAGAAAGTGACCACATTGTTAAAAAATGCCCTGAGAACAGTTATGGCTGAAACACCAGTGTGATCTGACATCCTGTATCTCCTTTGTTTTGGAACTGTGGTGCTCTCAGAAGTTCTGGCTCTGGTCTCTGACATGCTGGTGGACAGCAGGGTAAGACTTTTTTCCCTCCTCAGTGTCACCTTGGAAATCTGCCTGCTGGGGCTGACCACCACGTCCCACCCGGTGATGGAAGGGAATGAATTCACATAACATTTCTTCCATCTAACAGCCAGAGGCACAGAAGTCTCGGTGTGCTGTTGATTCCCAGATGTTCAGTTGAACCACTGGTGGAAAATATAAAAGAGGCCAAAAAAAGGGAAGGATTGAAGGTACACCTTCTTCTGTCAAGTCTTCCATTTTCCTCTTCAGACCTTAGATATCCATTAAAAAGTGCATTTTGGAGGAAAAATTTACAATTAAGATACATCCAGCAGAGCATGGTGGCTCACCTCTGTAATCTCAGTACTTTGAGAGGCCAAGGTGGGAGGATTGCTTGAGGAAAGGAGTTCGAGACCAGCCTGGGCAACATAGCAAGATCCTATGTCTACAAAAAATAAAAATTAGCCAGGCGTGACGGTGTGTCCCTTTAGTCCCAACAACTCGGGAAGTTGAGGAGGGAGGATCACTTGAGCCCAGGAATTTGAGGCTGCAGTGAGCTATGACTGCACCACTGTATTCCATCCTGGATGACAGAGTGAGACCCCATCTCAAAAATTAAAAAAAAAAAAAAAAAAAAAAAGACAGGTCCAATACAGGTTATTTGTAATACACTGAAGAGACATTTAAAGAATGAAAAGGTTGGCAGCTGCGTTGTTTCTCTGGCCACCTGGCACAAGGGATCTTAAATATGTACATCCCAGGATATGGGGGTCAGTGGAATTTCACATTTTCTGAGAGATGCTTCATTTGGAAAGTAAAATTATACAAATTATATGATCTAAAAGCAAAATATTTTTGCTATTTGAAGCAAACTTTTAAGATTTAGAGGTTAGCCACACCTATGTGCTCTCTTCAGCCCTCTTGGCCATTTGATTGGCTACATCCTTGGTATGAGGAGATGTAACATATAACTGTATGTAGAAATGTCATTCTTTAAGAAGTCCTGCTGGGCGCGGTGGCTCACGCCTGTCATCCCAGCACTCTGGGAGGCCGAGGTGGGCAGATCACGAAGTCAGGAGATCGAGACCATCCTGGCTAACATGGTGAAACCCCGTCTCTACTAAAAATACACAAAAAATTAGCCAGGCGTGGTG